>NC_000017.11:1400201-1551717 GCF_000001405.40 Homo sapiens
AAAATGGCGGCGCCTCAATCCGGGACTTCCGCCTGCGCACGCGGACAACTGCTCAGCTCTATGGCAACCGCTCCCTGGCAACTGGCGCGGGGGGCGGGTCCTGGAACTCGGCGCCCGAAGCGGCTGGAACGAGCGCACGAGACGCCTCTCCTCTGTCGGCTCAGCGGGCGCCGGAGCCCAGAGGCGGGAACTGCGACTGCCGAAAGGGAGCGGCCCCCGGGGAACGAGAAGGGCTGAGGCGGGGCCGGCCGGGACTGCTCCTGAAAAAAGCCAGCGAGAGACCTGGGTCAGACCGGGGCCCGAGGCCCGACCTGCGGAAAAGAACGACGGAGGCTGTAACGGTTTCTGTCATGGCAGGTCTTCTTTCCCGAAATCTGAGGCTGTCACTACCGCGCCCTGGTTTTCTTTTCTTTTTTCTTTTTTCTTTTTTCTTTTTGAGACGGAGTTTCCCTCTTGTTCCCCAGGCTGGAGTGCAGTGGTGCGATCTCGGGTTACCACAACGTCCGCCTTCCCGGGTTCAAGTGATTCTGCTGCCTCAGCCTCTCGAGTAGCTGGGATTTCAGGCCCCCGCCACCACCCCCAGCTTTTGTATTTTTAATAGAGATGGGGTTTCACCATGTTGGCCAGGCTGGTCTCGAACTCCCGACCTCAGATGATCCGCCCCCCCTCGGCCTCCCAAAGCGCTGGGATTCCAGGGGTGAGCCACCGCGCCCAGCCCACGTCCTAGTTTTCTCGGCCAAGCCTGGTCATGGGCCTTTTTCAGACACTTTTAGACTCAGGGTAACGAACCGGGCCCTGGCCGGGCGCGGCGGCTCATGCCTGTCATCCCAGCACTTTGGGAGGCCAAGGCGGGAGGATCACAAGGTCAGGAGTTCGAGACCAGCCTGGCCAATATAGTGAAACCCCGTCTCTACTAAAAATACAAAAAATTAGCTTGGCATGGTGGTGCATGCCTGTCATCCCAGCTACTCAGGAGGCTGAGGCAGGAGAATCTCTTGAACCCGGGAGGCGGAGGTTACAGTGAGCCGAGATCCTCCCATTGCACTCCAGCCCAGGCGACAGTGTGAGACTGTGTTTCAAAAGAAAAATTATATATATATACAAAAATTAGCTGGGCGTGGTGGTGCATGCCTGTAATCCCAGCTACTCCAGAGGCTGAGGCAGGAGAATCGCTTGAACCCGGGAGTGGGAGGGTGCAGTGAACCGAGAGCACACCATTGCACTCCAGCCTGGGCAACAAGAGCACAACTCTGTCTCAAAACAAAGAAAAAGAAAAAAAACGAACTGGGCCCTGTTACAGTTGTCAGGGACAGGGGAGCTCCAGTTTTCACGCCTCAACTTTCCCCTCACACTGATCTTTGTCTTCTCCTGTTTAACCTTTTTCCCTCCCTAGGCCCACTATGAATAGGAGCAGGGAATTTGTTAGATGAGGGTGGTGTGGAGTACATGGTACAGAAGAGTTGGACCAAGATCAAATAAAGATTGTGGAGGCAGGAATAACTCAGTGAACATTGCTTCAGCTTCTGGCGCTTGGGAGGCCCATGCGGAAGGATGACTTGAGCCCAGCCTGGGCAACATAGCGAGACTCCATGTCTATAAAAACGTTTTTTTTTTTTTTTATTTGAGTCGGCATCTCGCTCTGTTGCCCAGGCTGGAGTGCAGTGTCGTGATCTCGGCTCACTGCAACCTCCACCTCCCGGGTTGAAGCAATTCTCCTGCTTCAGCCTCCCAAGTAGCTGAGACTACGGGCACATGCCACCACACCCGGCCAATTTTTTGTATTTTTAATAGAGACGGGGTTTCACCATGTTAGCCAGGGTGGCCTCGATCTCCTGACCTCGTGATCTGCCCACCTCGGCCTCCCAAAGTGCTGGGATGACAGGCCTGAGCCATATCTTAGCAGTTTCAGAGGCTGAAGCAGGAGGATCTCCTGAGTCCAGGAGGTTGAGGCTGCAGTGAACTGTGATTGCACCAGTGGACTCCAGCCTGGGTAACAGAGCGAGACCCTGTCTCAAAAAATAAAGTGGGGAGAGGGAGGGATCTTGCCACGTTGCACAGACTGGCCTTAAACTGAGTTCAAGCAATCCCACCTTGGCCTCCCAAGTAGTTGGGAAACTACAGGCTTGCACCAACGCACCCAATCTTGCATCCTATTTTGTGGCCAAGGGAGCTGTATGATTTTGCGTGGAGGATGATGTCATCATAGTTATATTTCAGAAATATTAACAAATATTCCATAGCAATGATTAAAGAGGAGGATAACCAAACGTAATACGTGGGAGCAATGAAAATAGAAAGGAAAGGATAAATAGGAATAGCACTATAGAGGGAAGCCACAAGCAGCTGATCAGATTGCAGCTCTTTTTTTTTTTTTTACCATTACATATATAACATTTTATTATAATTTAAGGTATAGTCGATAATATAATGTTTTTTTTGTGTTTTTTTTGTTTTTTTTTTTAAATTGATCATTCTTGGGTGTTTCTCGCAGAGGGGGATTTGGCAGGGTCATAGGACAATAGTGGAGGGAAGGTCAGCAGATAAACATGTGAACAAGGGTCTCTGGTTTTCCTAGGCAGAGGACCCTGAGGCCTTCCGCAGTGTTTGTGTCCCTGGGTACTTGAGATTAGGGAGTGGTGATGACTCTTAACGAGCATGCTGCCTTCAAGCATCTGTTTAACAAAGCACATCTTGCACCGCCCTTAATCCATTTAACCCTGAGTGGACACAGCACATGTTTCAGAGAGCACAGGGTTGGGGGTAAGGTCACAGATCAACAGGATCCCAAGGCAGAAGAAGTTTTCTTAGTACAGAACAAAATGAGAAGTCTCCCATGTCTACCTCTTTCTACACAGACACGGCAAGCATCCAACCTCTCAATCTTTTCCCCACCTTTCCCCCCTTTCTATTCCACAAAACCGCCATTGTCATCATGGCCCGTTCTCAATGAGCTGCTGGGCACACCTCCCAGACGGGGTGGCGGCCGGGCAGAGGGGCTCCTCACTTCCCAGTAGGGGCGGCCGGGCAGATGCGCCCCTCACCTCCCGGACGGGGCGGCTGGCCGGGCGGGGGGCTGACCCCCCCACCTCCCTCCCGGACGGGGTGGCTGCCGGGCGGAGACGCTCCTCACTTCCCAGATGGGGTGGCTGCCGGGCGGAGGGGCTCCTCACTTCTCTGACGGGGCGGCTGCCGGGTGGAGGGGCTCCTCACTTCTCAGACGGGGCGGCCGGGCAGAGACGCTCCTCACCTCCCAGACGATGGGCGGCCGGGCAGAGACGCTCCTCACTTCCTAGATGGGATGGCGGCCGGGCAGAGACGCTCCTCATTTTCCAGACTGGGCAGCCAGGCAGAGGGGCTCCTCACATCCCAGACGATGGGCGGCCAGGCAGAGACGCTCCTCACTTCCCAGACAGGGTGGCAGCCGGGCAGAGGCTGCAATCTCGGCACTTTGAGGGGCCAAGGCAGGCGGCTGGGAGGTGGAGGTTGTAGCGAGCCGAGATCACGCCACTGCACTCCAGCCTGGGCACCACTGAGCACTGAGTGAACCAGACTCCGTCTGCAATCCCGGCACCTCGGGAGGCCGAGGCTGGCAGATCACTCGCGGTTAGGAGCTGGAGACCAGCCCGGCCAACACAGCGAAACCCCGTCTCCACCAAAAAAATACGAAAACCAGTCAGGCATGGCAGCGCGCGCCTGCAATCGCAGGCACTCGGCAGGCTGAGGCAGGAGAATCAGGCAGGGAGGTTGCAGTGAGCCGAGATGGCAGCAGTACAGTCCAGCTTCGGCTCGGCATCAGAGGGAGACCGTGGAAAGAGAGGGAGAGGGAGACTGTGGGGAGAGGGAGAGGGAGAGGGAGAGGGCTTTTTTTTTTTTTTTAATTTTGAGACAGTCTCGCTCTGTCGCCCAGGCTGGAGTGCAATGTCACAATCTCGGCTCACCACAACTTCTGTCTCCCAGGTTCGAGCGATTCTCCTGTCTCAGCCCCCCAAGTAGCTGGGATTACAGGTGTGCCCCACCATGCCCAGCTAATTTTTGTATTTTTAGTAGAGACAGGGTTTCACCGTATTAGCCAGGCTGGTCTTGAACTCCGACCTCAGGTGATCCTCCCACCTCAGCCTCCCAAAGTGCTGGGATTACCAGCGTGAGCCACCGCACCTGGCCCAGATTGAAGATCTTATAATAAAAATTGACTTTCCATCTTTCCACCCTGAGAATATTAACAAAAAATGGGAATGCTAGGAACACTTGCTGATGGAATGCAGAGAAAGACAAAGTTCTTTTAGCACATGTTGGTTCAGAGGATCAGGGATCCGCAGGTACCCAAGGATCACCCAGGTAAAAATGACCACGAAGGAGTTGTAAAAGGGGACACGCATTCCAAATAGAAGGGAAGCTGTTGGCCGGGCACAGTGGCTCACGCCTGTAATCCCAGCACTTTGGGAGGCCAAGGCGGGCAGATAATGAGGTCAGGAGTTTGAGACCAGCCTGACCAAAATGGTGAAACCCTGTGTCTACCAAAAATACAAAAAGTAGCTGGGCATGGTGGCACGCGGCTGTAATCCCAGCTACTGAGGAGGCTGAGGCCGGAGAATCACTTGAACCTGGGAGGCGGAAGTTGTGGTGAGCTGAGATTGCGCCACTGCACCTCAGCCTGGGTGACAGAGTGAGACTCCATATCAAAAAAAAAAAAAAGAATAAAAGGAGGTGTCAGTCGTATTAAATTCTGCAGAGACATAAGTCAGATTAGCACTGAGGGAAAGCCATTGGATATAGCGATTAGGTCATTAGTGACCTTCAAAAGGAGTTTCGAAATGGTGTTGGAAGCCAGATTGCATTTGGTTGAAGCTCAGGGAAGTCGAGAAAGTGGAACTGGTAAGCATAGGGGTCTCCTGAGAGGAGCAGTGAAGACAGACAGGTAATTTGAGAGCAATGAGTGGCCAATAGGGGTGGCCAAATTAAGGATTTGGTCCACACATTCACAAACCTACCTACAAAGACAGCTCTGCTGCCGGGTTGATTACAGGGGCTGCCGTGGCTATGCAGCTGTCTGTGCTGGGGAAAGAAGCTATCGGCCGTCTCTTTCACAAAGAAGCTTCTGTACAGTGTCTCCCCAGACCCGCCGAAGTCTCTCCAAAAGTGCCTCTTCCTACGTAACTGCTGAGACGGCAGAAACCCTACACGTAGATTGCTGGTGTGACTGCACTGCCCGTTCTCTCAATACATGGAACTAACGGGCAGACATGGTTGATAGGGCACCAAAAATAGACAGAAACAATTTTGATGTAGCATTCGGGATTATAAACAGATATAAAACATCCTGGTGCTGCGCAGAAGTGGCTGTCGTGATACGGTCCTGCGCTTTTCACGGCTGCTGCGGCCATAGATACTTCACTTGCTATTGAAACGCCTTTGACACAATCTCCAGGTCATAGGTCACAACCCCAAGTGTAAGTCTCCCTGCCTGATAGAAAATCTGCTTTAATAAGAAACAAGAACTCACTCAGTCCGTCCGGAGAGCCCCTAGATATGTGGCAGTGTACTAAGCACTATGAGAAGGAAATAAGATGTTAAAAAATATCATTAACCAGGCTCGGTGGCTCACTTCTGTAATCCCAGCACTTTGGGAATCTGAGGCGGGTGGATCACCTGATGTCAGGAGTTTGAGACCAGCCTGGCCAACATGGTGAAACCCCTTCTCTACTAAAAATACAAAGGCCGGGCACGGTGGCTCATGCCTCTTATCCCAGCACTTCGGGAGGCCAAGGCGGGCGGATCATGAGGTCAGGAGTTCGTGACCAGTCTGGCCAACATAGTGAAACCCCATCTCTACTAAAAATACACAAAAAATTAGCCGGGCATGGGGGTGTAATCCCCATGTAATCCCAGCTTCTCAGGAGGCTGAGGCAGGAGAATCACTTGAACCCGGAAGCCAGAGGTTACTGTGAGCTGAGATCATGCCACTGCACTCCAGCCTGGGTGACAGAACGAGACTCCATCTCAAAAAAAAAAAATAAAAATAAAAGTAAAAATACAAAGATTCGCTGGACATGATGGCGCACACCTATAATCCCAGCTACTCGGGAGGCTGAGGCAGGAGAATTGCTTGAACCTGGAGGGAGGAGGTTGCAGTGAGCCTACTCGGGAGGCTGAGGCAGGAGAATCGCTTGAACCCGGGGGGAGGAGGTTGCAGTGAGCCAAGATCATGCCACTGCACTCCAGCCTGGGTGGCAGAGCAAAACTCTGTCTCAAAAAAAAAAAAAAAAAATCAATAGACTTTATGGTATTTAAAAAAAAAAACAAAAAAAACCCAGGCTCAGCATAGTGGCTCATGCCTGAAATCCCAGCACTCTAGGAGGCCAAAGTGGGAGGATCGCTTGAGACCAGGATTTCAAGACCAGCCTGGGCAACACTGTGAGACCCCCGTCTCTACAAAAAATTGTTGGATGCACTGCACATCCAGGTGTTGGCATGCACCTGTAGTTCCAGCTACTCCGGAGGCTATAGTGGGAAGATCGCTTGAGCCCAGGAGGTGGAGGCTGCAGTGAGCCATGATCACAGCACTGCACTCCAGCATGGCCAACAGGGCCAGACTCTGTCTTGAAAAAAAGAAAAAAGAAAAAGAACAAAGAAGAAATAAAAAAATCTATGCATGCTTGGTGGCTCATGCCTGTAATGCCAACACTTTAGGAGGCTTAGGTGGGGGGAATCGCTTAAGCCCAGGAGTTTGAGACCAGTGTAGGCAACATACTGAAACCTTCTCTTTACTAAAAATACAAAAATTAACGGCACGGTTGTGTGTGCTTGTAGTCCCAGCTACTTAAGAGGCTGAGGAGAGAGAATTGCTTGAGCCCAAGACTTGGAGTTTGCAGTGAGACTTGATGACACCACTTTACTCCAGCCTGGGTGACAGACACTATGTCTCAAAAAAACAAAACAAGGCCTGGCGCGGTGACTCACGCCTGTAATCCCAGCACTTTGGGAGGCCGAGGCGGGCAGATCATGATGTCAGGAGTTCAAGGCCAGCATGACCAACATAGTGAAACCTCTTCTCTACTAAAAATGCAAAAATTAGCCAGGTGTGGTGGCACGTACCTGTAATCCCAGCTACTCGGAAGACTGAGGCAGGAGAATCGCTTGAACTAGGGAGTCGGAGGGGGCAGTGAGCCGAGATTGAGCCACTGCACTCTAGCCTGGCGACCGATCAAGACCTCGTCTCAAAAAAAAAAAATCCATATCTAAAGTGATTTGAAATGACATGTTTATTATGTTTCAAATTTTCCTATGTCTGGTTCTAGAATTTTTCTATTCATTTCCTCTGATCTGTTTGTTCTTATGTCGATAAGATTTTAAATATAATACCATTATAGTATGTTTTTATATCTGGTAGAACATTTTTTTATTCAAAATTTCACTGATTTTATACTTTTACTCTGCTAGATGAACTTCAGAATCAACTTGAAAAGTTCTCTCGGCCGGGCGCGGTGGCTCATGCCTGTAATCCCAGCACTTTGGGAGGCCGAGGTGGGCACATCATGAGGTCAGGAGATCGAGACCATCCTGGCTAACACGGTGAAACCCCATCTCTACTAAAAATACAAAAAATTAGCCGGGCGTGGTGGCGGGCGCCTGTAGTCCCAGCTACTTGGGAGACTGAGGCAGGAGAATGGCGTGAACCCGGGAGGCGCAGCTTGCAGTGAGCCGAGATCGCACCACTGCACTCCAGCCTGGGCGACAGAGCGAGACTCCATCTCAAAAAAAAAAAAGAAAAGTTCTCTCAAGACCCATGTAGGTTTTTTGGGGGGCTGTTCTGAATTTATAGATTAATTAAAAGACAATTGGAAATTTTTTTTCTTTTCTTTTTCTTTTCTTTTTTCTTTTTTTTTTTGAGACAAAGTTTCGCTCTTGTGGCCCAGGCTCGAGTGCAATGGCACAATCTCGGCTCACTGCAACTTCTGCCTCCCAGGTTCAAGTGATTCTCCTGCCCCAGCCTCCCAAGTAGCTGGAATTACAGGCATGTGCCACCACGCCTGGCTAATTTTTTGTATTTAGTAGAGATGGGATTTCACCATGTTGGCCAGGCTAGTCTCAAAATCCTGACCTCAGGTGATCCACCCGCCTCGCCCTCCCAAAGTGCTGGGATGACAGACTTGAGCCACTGCACCCAGCCCAAGAATTGGAGATATGTTCAAAAATGAGTTTTCTCAGGAAAATTCTCCAATTTTATTCCAGTCTCCTTGCTGAAATGATTTTTTTGTTTTTTTTTTTGAGACAAAGTCTCACTCTGTCGCCTAGGCTGGAGTGCAGTGGCACAATCTCGGCTCACTGCAACCTCTGCTCCGGGTTCAAACGATTCTCCTGCTTCAGCTTCCTGAGTAGCTGGGACTACAGGCGCACGCCACCACGCCTGGCTAAATTTTTATTTTTAGTAGAGATGGGGTTTCACCATGTTGGCCAGGCTAGTCTTGAACTCCTGACCTCAGGTGATCTGCCCGCCTCGGCCTCCCAAAGTGCTGGGATGACAGGCGTGAGCCACTGCGCCCAGCCTGAAATGATCTTAAGTACAATTGTATAGTTAGATGTATAAAGGTCTCACATATTTCTAATTAACTTTGTTCCCAAGTATTTAGGAGGCTATTGATAATTATAAATGGGCTCTCCCCCATTTTATATTTCTTTTTTTCTTTTTTTTTTTTTGAGACAGAGTCTCGCTCTGTCGGCCAGGCTGGAGTGTAGTGGCACGATCTCGGCTCACTGCAACCTCCGCCTCCCGGGTTCAAGCAATTCTCCTGCCTCAGCCTCCCGAGTAGCTGGGATTACAGGTATGTGCCACCACGCCCAGCTAATTTTTGTATTTTTAGTAGAGACAGGGTTTCATCATGTTGGCCAGGCTGGTCTTGAACTCCTGACCTCAGGCAATCCGCCCACCTCAGCCTCCCAAAGTGCTGGGATTACAGGCGTGAGCCACTGCGTCCGGCCCTATTTTATATTTCTGATTGATCTATACTTCCACTGATATATACAAAAATCACTTTTTTTTTTTTTGTATAGACGGGGTTTCGCCATGTTGCTCTGTCTGGTCTCAAATGCCTGGGCTCAACCATCTGCCAGCCTCAGCCTCCCAAAGTGCTGAGATTACAGGCATGAGCCACTGCGCCCAGCCCCAAATCCATGATTTTTGATAGTTATCTTGTACCCAACTGCCTTACTGAACTCTGTCTTATTAGTTCTTTTTTTTTTTTTTTGAGACAGAGTCTCACTGTGTTGCCCAGGCTGGAGTGCACTGGCACAATCTCGGCTCACTGCAACCTCTGCCTCCCAGGTTCACGCCATTCTCCTGCCTCAGCCTCCCTAGTAGCTGGGACTACAGGCGCCCACCACCATGCCCGGCTAATTTTTTTTTTTTTTTGAGGCGGAGTCTTGCTCTGTCGCCCAGGCTGGAGTGCAGTGGCGCGATCTCAGCTCACTGTAAGCTCCGCCTCCCGGGTTCAGACCATTCTCCCGCCTCAGCCTCCCGAGTTGGGACTACAGGCGCCCGCCACCACGCCCGGCTAATTTGTTGTATTTTTAGTAGAGACGGGGTTTCACCGTGTTAGCCAGGATGGTCTCGATCTCCTGACCTCGTGATCCGCCCGCCTCGGCCTCCCACAGTGCTGGGATGACAGGCGTGAGCCACCGCGCCCAGCCAAGTTCTTATTTAATTCTAACTTCTTTCTGCATTGACTTGGAGCTTCAGAGAAGTATTAAATAAGAGATATAATAATGGGCATTATTGAATTCTATTGAATACTTGATTTTAATAGGAATGACTCTAGTGTTTCACCATTGAGGTTTACTATTGGTTTCTGATAAATAATATTTTTTTCTTTTTTTGAGATGGAGTCTCACTCCGCTGCCCAGGCTGGAGTGCAGTGGCACGATCTCGGCTCACTGCAACTTCCACCTCCCAGGTTCACGCCATTCTCCTGCCTCAGCCTCCTGAGTAGCTGGGACTACAGGTGTCCACTACCATGCCCGGCTAATTTTTTGTATTTTTAGTAGAGACAGGGTTTCACCATGTTGGCCAGGCTGGTCTCTAACTCCCAATCTCAGGTAATCTGCCTGCCTAAGCCTTCTAAAGTGTTGGGATTACAGGCATGAGCCACTGCGCTCGGCCCTAATTTTTGTATTTTTAGTAGAGACAGGGTTTCGCCATGTTCACCAGGATGGTCTCGAACTCCTGACCTCAGGTGATCTGCCCACCTCAGCCTCTCAGAGTGGTGGGATTACAGGCGTGAGCCACTGCGCCTGGCCCCTTCCTGCCTTTTTCTTTCTTTCTTTTCTTTTCTTTTTTTTTTTAAAGATGGAGTTTCACTCTTATTGCCCAGGCTGGAGTACAATGGCACAATCTCGGCTCACCACAACCTCCACCTCCCGGGTTCAAGCAATTCTCCTGTCTCAGCCTCCCTAGTAGCTGGGATTACAGGCATGTGCCACCACGCCTGGCTAATTTTGTGTTTTTAGTAGAGACGGCGTTTCTCCATGTTGGTCAGGCTGGTCTCGAACTCCCAACCTGAGGTGATCCGCCCGCCTCGGCCTCCCAAAGTGCTGGGATTACAGGCATGAGCCACCGCGCCTGGCCATTTTATTTTTCATATCATGTATGAAAAGACGACAACTCTGGGCTGTTTGTCATGTAAAGTATCTCACACTCTGGACTTTTTTTTTTTTTTTTTGAAACAGGGGGTCTCGCTCTGTCACCTAGGCTGGAGTGCAGTGGCGCAATTTCCGCTCACTGCAACCTCCACCTCCCGGGTTCAAGCCATTCTTCTGAACTCAGCCTCCCGAGTAGCTGGGATTAAGGCGCCTGCCACCACGCCCAGGTAATTTTTGTATTTTTAGTAGAGATACGGTTTCACCATGTTAGCCAGGATGGTCTCGATCTCCTGACCTCGTGATTACAGGTGTGAGCCAGCACACCCGGCCCTCTGGACTTGTTTCTTTGCTTCCTTGTGATGCTGTTTAAATTGTTTCCTATTCCTTAAATTTCCTGTAAAGTGGTGGTTGGATGACAGCCAGGTTCAGGTTTTGTTTTTTGTTTTTTTTTGGTTTTTTTTGCCAGAATACCTCAGAGGTGGTGCTTGCTGCAAGCTTCCTTTGGTCTTATTGTGCTAAGACTGACAAGTGACAATATTTAAAGAATATGTTTGCTGGGGCCGGGCACGGGGGCTCATGCCTGTAACCCTGGCACTTGGGACGCTGAGGTGGGCAGATCACCTGAGGTCAGGAATTGGAGACCAGCTGGGTCAACATGGTAAAACCCCGTCTCTAGACAGAGCAAGACTCCGCCTCAAAAAGCAAAACAAAATAAAAAGAATATGTTCATTGAGAAACAATTTCCACACCATGAATTCACCTATTTTGAGCAAGAATTCAATGAGTTTTAGTCTATTACAGAGTTATCCCGCCATCGCCACAGTCCCATTTTAGAGCATTCCCATCAAACTAAAATCAAACTTTGTGCCCATTTACAATCAACCTCCATTCCTACTCCCAGCCCTAGGCAACCACTCATCTATTTCCTATCTCTATAGATTTGTCTTTTATAGAAATAAATCATATTTTGTGTGCTTTGTTTTTCCGGTGACTTCTGAATTCAATGTAGACATATTAACCTCACTGAGTCTTTGTTGTTTTTCCTTGCTCGCGTTTCTCTCTATTCCTCATTGATTTATTCTGATCCATTAATAAGAGTTGTGTCTTTCGTTTTGTGCTGACTTCATTTTGCTGCGTTGCGTACCCTGTGCCCTTGCATATTCTTTAGTAACCAGCTCTGTGCTAACTTTCATTTGAATAGCAGGGCCCTGTTGGCTCATAAGGAACTTTTGTGGGACTCATTAAAAAAGGTACTCCTGCTAAAGAAATGCCCTTGTTTGAATTAAAAAATGATCCTGCTGGGTGCAGTGGCTCACACCTGTAATCCCAGCACTTTGGGAGGCTGAGGCAGGCAGATCAGCTGAGCTCAGGAGTTCAAGACCCGCCTAAGCAACATGGCGAAACCCCGTCTCTACTAAAAATACAAAACATAGCCAGGCGTGGTGGCAGGTACCTGTAATCCCCGCTACTCAGGAGGCTGAGGCAGGAAAATCGCTTGATCCTAGGAGGCGGAGGATGCAGTGAGCCAAGATTGCGTCACTACACTCCAGTCTGGGCGATAGAGCGAGACTCCATCTCACAGAAAAAGAGGGTCCTTCCCAGCAGTAGGGGAGGCTGAGGCAGGAGGACTGCTTGAGCTCAGGAGTTCTAGACCGACCTGGCCAACATGGTGACACCCCCATCTCTATAAAAAATACAAAACCTAGCTGGGCGCGGTGGCGCGCACCTGTAGTTCCTACCAATCACAAGGTTAAGTTGGGAGGATACTTTGAGCCCAGGTGGTCGAGGCTGCAGTGAGCTGTGACTCTGCCACTGCACTGCAGCCTGGGTGACAAAATGAGACCCTGTCTCAAACACACAAAACTAAACAAAAGTGATGATCCTGCAAGCAGACAAAGCCTGCTGGAGTTTCGGCTGGCCTTGTGCCTTGCTTTCATCAATAGAATGCAGGGGAGTTCGGCGGCTGCACCTTCTGGGAAGCAAGGAGCACCTCTGCTCGGCAGCTGTGCAACTCTCCAGGTGTGACGTGGCAGCCTTGTGTGTGACCTTTCTGCCCTCCCCAAGTTTGCATTTTCTTTTTTTTTTAATCTTTGAGACAGAGTCTCGCTCTTTCACCCAGGCTGGAGTGCAGTGGCGCAATCTTGGCTCAGTGCAACCTCTGCCTCCCGGATTCAAGCCATTCTTCTGAACTCAGCCTCCCGAGTAGCTGGGATTAAGGCGCCTGCCACCACACCCAGCTGCTAGATTTTTTATATTTTTAGTAGAGACGGGGTTTCACCGTGTTAGCCAGGATGGTCTCGATCTCCTGACCTCGTGATCCACTTGCCTCGGTCTCCCAAAGTGCTGGGATTACAGGCGTGAGGCACTGCACCCGGCCCCAAGTTTGCATTTTCAACAGTAAAGTTTACTTTTAAATTAAAAGATTTAAATTGGGGAAAATAACAAAAAGAATGTAGGGGACTGACATTGTGTCAATTCCACGGCTACACCTTAAGAGACCTTGGTCTCTTGGAACCCTGCCAATAGCCACGGACTCAGTCCAGGCAGCCCTGCTGGAGGATGGGAGACCACAGGAAGTAGAGATAAACTGTGTCAGCTGAGGGCCATCCAAGATCAACCAGCCCCTGCCAATCAGCATCTGACCTCATCCATGAGTGAAACTGGCCAAGACTTGGAGAACTGCCCAGCTGAGCCCAACCCCAGCTGCTGACCTGTGTAATTATAAGATGGCTAAGTGATTGTTATTTTAAGCCACTAAGGATTGGCATGGTTTACTTTGCAGCAAAGCTAACTGATAGAGTAACTTTGTTTGTTTTGAGACAGAGTCTTGCTGTGATGCTCAGGCTGGAGTGAAATGGTGTGATCTCGACTTACTGCAACCTCCGCTTCCTGGGTTCAAGTGATTCTCCTGCCTCAGCCTCTCAAGTAGCTGGGACTACAGGTGTGCGCCACAACGCCCGGCTAATTTTTTTTTTTTTTTTTTTTTTTTTTTTGAGACAGAGTCTTGCTCTTTCTCCCAGGCTGAGAGCAGTGTGATCTCAGCTCACTGCAACCTCCACCTCCCAGGTTCAAGCAATTCTCCTGTCTCAGCCTCCCAAGTAGCTAGGATTACAGGTGCCTGCCACTAGGCCCAGCTAGTTTTTGTATTTTTAGTAGAGACAGGGTTTCACCATGTTGGCCAGGCTGGTCTGGAACTCCTGACCTCAAGTGATCCACCCGTCTTGGCCTCCCAAAGTGCTGGAATTACAGGCGTGAGCCACCGTGGCCGGCCTTAATTTTTCTATTAGACATGGGGTTTCACCATGTTGGCCAGGCTAGTCTCTAACTCCCAACCTCAGGTGATCTGCCCAAGTCGGCCTCCCAAAGTGCTAGGATTACAGGGGTAAGCCACCGTGCCCACATGGCTTTTGATGACTTCTAGCCCACCTATTCTGTTTTCACTTTTTGGTTCAGAATACAACCTCTGGGTATCTGCTGTGTCTAGCAGGGCTGGGTGTTGGGAATACAACAATGAGTAGCTGTGGCCTTGTGATGGATACACTCACGGGCAATCTCAGCTCAGTGTGAGGTCACGCCAGTAAGTGCATGTTAGCAAGACAGGACACAGGACAGGCACCTAACCCAAATTAGGACGTTAGATAAGACTGATGTTTGAAAATGAGATAGAGTTACAGTGTCCAAAAACCCAGAGGAGAGAGCAGGTGGGTCAGGTAAAGACAGGGCAAGAAATTCAGTGTGGCTGGAGCCCAGAGCACCAGAGGGAGAGTGAGGAAGATGAGGCTGGGAAGGGAAGGAGGAGCTCGAACATGAAGAGCTCCGTTTCCCTTTGCAGAGAGTTTAGACACTGGCTGAAGGAGAATATAATCTAATAGGAGATGATATAAAAGCTCACAGGGGCTGCGATGTGGATGGACTGGAAGGGCCAAAACTAGTGACAAGGAGCCCAGTTAGGCAGCTGTTGAGGTCATCCAGACGAGGCGCTGGCAGTTTGAACTACGGTGGCAGCAGTGGGGAGGGAGGAAAGTGAACTGTGCAGGACTAAGGACTTGGTAAATGACCAGCGAGAGGAAAGAGGAGAGGATTGCCTCCAGAGCTGTGGCCTGGCCAGCGGTGATAGACATTGAGATAGGAAAGCTGAACGAGGAGCAAATGGGGAGCGGGATCATCAATTTGTTTTTATTTTTGAGATGGGGTCTCACCCTGTTGCCCAGGTTGGAGTGCAGTGGTGCGATCGCGGCTCACTGCAACCTCCACCTCCCGGGTTCAAGCGATTCTCCTGCCTCAGCCTCTCGAGTATCTGGGACTACGGGCACCTGCCACCATGCCTGGCTAATTTTTAAAAATTATTTTAGTTTATTTTATTTAGACGAGTGAGTCTCGCTCTGTTGGTCAGGCTGGAGTGCAGTGGCACAATCTCGGATCACTGCAACCTCCGCCTCCCGGATTCAGGCAGTTCTCTGCCTCAGCCTCACGATTGGCTGAGATTATAGGCACCTGCCACCACGCCCAGCTAATTTTTTTGTATTTTTAGTAGAGACGGGGTTTCAGCATCTTGGCCAGGCTGGTTTTGAACTCCTGATCTGATCCACCCGCCTCAGCCTCCCAAAGTGCTGGGATTACAGGTGTGAGCCACCACACCCGGCCTTTTTTTTTTTTTTTTTTTTTTTGGAGACAGAGTCTCGCTCTGTTGTCCCAGCTGGAGTGCAGTGGCGTGATCTTGGCTCACTGCAAGCTCCACCTCCTGGGTTCATGCCATTCTCCTGCCTCAGCCTCCAGAGTAGCTGGGACTACAAGCACTCGCCACCTTGCACAGCTAATTTTTTGTATTTTTAGTAGAGATGGGGTTTCACCATATTAGCCAGGATGGTCTCGATCTCCTGACTCGGATCTCCTGACTCGTGAGCCACCCGCCTCGGCCTCCCAAAGTGCTGGGATTACAGGTGTGAGCCACCGTGTCCAGCCTATTTTTATTTTTTAGAGACAGGGTCTCACTGTGTTGCCCAGGCTGGTCTCGAACTCCTGAACTCAAGTGATTCTCCTGCCTCCGCTTGCAAAGTGTTAGGATTACCGGCATGAGCCATCACGCCCAGCAGGGATCATGAATTTGGCTTGGAATATGTTGAGTGTGAGGTGCCTTCACCACTTCCAAATGGAGACGTCCATCCAGCGAGAACTGATAGTTTTGTGTTTTTTTAACAGACGGGGTCTTGAGCCAGGCGCAGTGGCTCACGGCTGTAATCCTAGCACTTTGGAAGGCTGAGGCAGGTGGATTACCTGAGGTCAGGAGTTCAAGACTAGCCTGGCCAATACGGTAAAACCCCGTCTCTACTAAAAATACAAAAATTAGCTGGGTGTGATGGTGGGCGCCTGTAATCCCAGCTACTTGGGAGGCTGAGGCAGGAGAATTTCTTGAACCCAGGAGGCGGAGGTTGCAGTGAGGCAAGATTGTACCACTGTAGTCCAGCCTGGGTGACAGAATAAGACTCTGTCTCGGAAAAAAAAAAAAAGAAAAGAAAAAAAGAAAATACGATCAAGAACCTCACTTTGGCCAGGCGTGGTGGCTCAGGCCTGTAATCCCAGCATGTTTGGAGGCCAAGGCAGGTGGATCCTTTGAGACCAGCCTGGGCTACATAGCAACACCCCATCTCTTAAAAAATAGTAATTTTAAAAAACCTCAAAAATTAGCTGGGGATGGTGGTGTGCGCCTGTAGTCCCAGCTGCCTGGAAGGCTGAGAGGTGGGAGGATCGCTTGAGTCCAGGAGGCGGAGGTTTCTGTGAGCTGAGATCACGCCACTGCACTCCAGCCTGGGCAACAGAGTGAGACCCCATCTCAAACAAACAAAAAACAAAAAAAATCACATTCAGCCGGGAATGGCAGCTCACACAGATAATCCCAGCATTTTGGGAGGTTGAGGCAGGAGGATTACTTGAGCCTAGGAGTTCAAGAGCAGCCATAGCAAAACCCTCATCTCTACCAAAAATTAACAAACTAGCCAGGTGTGGTGGTGCGCAACTGTCGTCCCAGCTATTTTGGAGGCATAGGTGGGCAGATTGCTTGAGTCCCGGAGGTCCAGGCTGCGCTGAGTCCGGGTTGCACTGTTGCATCCCAGCCTGGGCAACAGTGAGTTTTGTCTCTCAAAAGAAACAAACAAAGGGCCGGGCATGGTGGCTCACGCCTGTAATCCCAGCACTTTGGGAGGCTGAGGTGGGCAGATCACAAGGTCAGGAGTTCAAGACCAGCCTGGCCAACATGGTGAAACCCCATCTCTACTAAAAATACAAAAAATTAGCCGGACGTGGTGGCACGCACTGGAATCCCAGCTACTTGGGACGCTGAGGCAGAAGAATCGCTTTAACCTGGGAGGTGGAGGTTGTGGTGAGCTGAGATGGCACCATTGCACTCCAGGCTGGACAACAGAGCAAAACTCCACCTCAAAAAAAAAAAAAAAAAAACAACACTCATCACATTCATTCCTTTTTTCTAAGTATCATAGATTTTTTGCGTGTTTGCTTTTTGAAACGGAGTCTGGTTCTGTCGCCCAGGCTGGAGTGTAGTGGTGTGGTCTTGGTTCACTGCAACCTCTGCCTCCCAGGTTCAAGAGAGTCTCCCACCTCAGCCTCCTGAGTAGCTGAGATTACAGGCATCCCCCACCATGCCCGGCTAATTTTATATTATTTATTTATTTTTGAGACAGTATCGCTCTGTTGCCCAGGCCGGAGTGCAATGGTGCGATCTCAGCTTACTGCAACCTCTGCCTCCCCGGTTGAAGTGATTCTCCTGCCTCAGCTTCCCGAGTAGCTGGGATTAAAGGCACCTGCCACCACACCTGGCTTTTTTTTTTTTTTTTTTGAGATGGAGTCTCACTCTGACGTCCAGGCTGGAGTGCAGTGGCGTGGTCTCGGCTCACTGCAAACTCCGTCTCCCAGGTTCAAGCCACTCTGCCTCGGCCTCCGGAGTAGCTGGGACTCAGGCGTCCGCCACTACACCTGGCTAGTTTTTTGTATTTTTAGTAGAGATGGGGTTTCACCGTGTTAGCCAGGATGGTCTCGATCTCCTGACCTCATAATCCACCCGCCTCGGGCTCCCACAGTTCTGGGATGAGGCGTGAGCCACCGCGCCCGGCCTGCTCTGTTTTTGAGCTTCACTTCTAGATGGCTAAAGGTTCTTTTTTGCCTCTACCTTATCTCCCATTTCACAGTCTTCAGAACATGGGTGGCAACAGCACGCCACTTTCTCCGCCTCTCCCTGTCAAACTTAGCAGGGTTAATGGTTATTTTCACATTTTCTTCTATACCGGCCCCCTCTCATCTTTTCATACCTGTAAGAGGAACAGAATTTAACCTGGAAGTCCAGGTCATAAAATACGACAGCTGGTATGAATACTGTAGACTATATAAAAGAACACGCCATTCAACAGGGTTTTTTTTGGTTTTGGGTTTTGTTTCAGACAGGGTCTTACCCTGTCGCTCAGGCTGGAGTGAAGTGGCACAATCTCACTGCACCGTCAGCCTCTTGGGTTCAAGCAACTCTTCTGCCTCAGCGGCCTAAGTGGCTGGGATTACAGGCGCACACCACCACACCCAGCTAATTTTTTTTTGTATTTTTAGTAGAGACAGTGTTTCACCACGTGGGCCAGGCTGGTTTCAAACTCCTGATCTCAAATGATTCCACCACCTAGGCCTCCCAAGTGCGAGGATTACAGGCATAAGCCACTGTACCTGGCCTGCTTTCAGGCCTTTATATGATTCTTATGGTCCCCTCAAATCAGTATTTTATGACTCATACTCATGGAGACCTTTAAAAATATCACCAGGCCAGAGGCCGGGCGCAGTGGCTCACGCCTGTAATTCCAGCACACTGGGAGGCCGAGGCGGGTGGATCACCTGAGGTCAAGAGTTCAAGACCAGCCTAGCCAACATGGTGAAACACCATCTCTACTAAAAATACAAAAATTAGCAGGGCCTGGTGGCGTGCACCTGTAATCCCAGCTATTCGGGAGGCTGAGGCAGGAGAATCGCTTATACCCGGGAGGCAAGGTTGGAGTAAGCTGAGATCACGCCACTGCCCTCCAGCCTGGGGCACAAGAGGAAAATTTTGTCTTGAAAAAAAAAAAAATCACGAGGCCAGGCGCGGTGGCTCACGCCTGTAATCCCAGTACTTTGGGGGGCCAAAGTGGATCACCTGCGGTCAGGAGGTTTGAGACCAGCCTGGCCAAAATGGTGAAACCCCATCTCTACTAAAAATACAAAAATTAGCCAGGTATGGTGGCACGTGCCTGTAATCCCAGCTACTCGGGAGGCTGAGGCAGGAGAATCGCTTGAACACAGGAGACAGAGGTTACAACGAGCTGAGATAGCGCCACTATACTCCAGCCTGCACAACAAGAGTGAAACTCCGTCCCCGCCCCCCACCCTGCGCCCCGCCAAAAAAAAAAAAAAAAAAAAAGGCCGGATACGGTGGCTCATCCCTGTAATCCTAGCACTTTGGGAGGCTGAGGCAGGCGGATCACCTGAGGTTGGGAGTTCCAGACCAGCCTGACCAACATGGAGAAATCCCGTTTCTACTAAAAATTCAAAATTAGCCGGGCATGGTGGCGCATGCCTGTAATCCCAGCTACTCGGGAGGCTGAGGCAGGAGAATTGCTTGAACCCAGGAGGTGGAGGTTGCAGTGAGCCAAGAACGCAGCACTACACTCCAGCCTGGGCAACAAGAGCGAAACTCCATCTCAACAAAAATAAATAAATAAATAATTAAAAAAAAATCTGTGTCTATATATATCACCATTGATTAATCCCATCTTTTTTTTTTTTTTCCCTGAGATGGAGTCTTGCTCTGTCACCCAGGCTGGAGTGCAGTGGCGTGATCTCGGCTAACTACAATCTCCACTTCACAGGTTCAAGTAATTCATCTGCCTCAGCCTCCCGAGTAGCTGGGACTATAGGTGCACGCCACAACGCCTGGCTAATTTTTGTATTTTATTGATTGATTAATTGAGACAGAGTCTCGCTCTGTTGCCCAGGCTGGAGTACGGTGGTGCCATCTTGGATCACTGCAAGCTCTGCCTCCCGGGTTCAAGCGATTCTCCTGCCTCAGCCTCCCGTGCAGCTGGGACTACAGGCGCGTGCCACCACGCCCGGCTAATTTTTCGTATTTTTAGTGGAGACCGGGTTTCACCATGTTAGCCAGGATGGTCTCGATCTCCTGACTTTGTGATCCACCCACCTCAGCCTCCTAAAGTGCTGGGATTACAGGCGTGAGCCATCATGCCCAGCCAGATTTTAGTATTTTTAGTAGAGACGGAGTTTCACTATGTTGGCCAGGCTGGTCTCGAACTCCTGACCTTCTGATCCGCTCGCCTCTGCCTCCCAAGGTGCTGGGATTACAGGCATGAGCCACCACACCCGGCCTAATCCCATCTTTAATAAGCACCCACTGAGCTTGTATAATTGTTTATCTAATTATATGACTGCAGGCTGCTGAAGGCACATACCTCCTATCCCCTAAGCATAAAGATTTACCTCTCGCTGGGTGCGGTGGTGGCTGAAGCCTGTAATCCCAGCACTTTAGGAGGCGGAGGCAGGCGGATCACCCGAGGTCAGGAATTTGAGACCAGCCTGGCTAACATGGTGAAACCCCATTTCTACTAAAAATACAGTAAATTAGCTGGGCGTGGTGGTGCATGCCTGTAACCCCAGCTACTCGGGAGGCAGAGGTAGGAGAATTGCTTGAACGTGGGAGGCGGAAGTTGCAGTGAGCCGAGATCGCATCACTGCACCCCAGCTTAGGTCACAAGAGCGAAACTCTGTCTCAAAAAAAAAAAAAGATTTAGTTCTTTTGTGAAAAATATTCAAAGATTACTTTTTTGCAAAAGATCACCAAGCCAAACATTTGGCCATATTTTTATTTACTACATATACTATAAACATATACAATACATGCTACCAAAAAAAATTTTTTTTTAAATTTAACTGTCAAGAAAGTGTATAGTGTTATAATACAATGGCACATGTTTATATTTTATTTCAAATTGGTTTGCTTATCACCTATTTCAAACCATTAACAGTGAAATGTTACTTGTGGATAATTAAAAATTATCTATTTGCATTATTAACAATAAACAATTCCAACAAATTAATAAGAATTAACCATGTCAAATATTAGTATTCAAAAAATGGGATTTGCAGAAATGATTATATAAAATATAGCAGCCAATTTCAGTTTACTTTGCCAATAGGATTTCAGCATTTGCTTTTTTTTGGAAGACACTTATAAGACATCCTTTGATTTCTTGAGGGGCATTAACTGCCACACTCAACAGTCAAATCCAGCCCAGTGGTTCATGAACGGCCCTGGATCACTGATCACTGAGGAATCCTTAGGACTTGAGTAGCGCTGCCTGTTCCACTGATATTACATATGATGAAAAGAGACATTACAAGCCAATATCAAAGTCAAAGGAAAAGAAAATAGGAACATTCAAATCAGTTGTGACAAGGTTTTTCTACAAGTATTTTTGATGCCATACTTTCAGGAAAACAAGATTTAATGTGTGTGTGGACTTTACAGTATCTACGTTCTAACTGAAAATTTAACAAAGCAGTCAGATGGAATTACATGTAGTATTACAAATGTGTTCATTCAACACTAATGAGCACCCACTCTGTGCATAGCACTGGGCTACCATTTTACAAGTTGAGTTTAACGTCTTTATCAAGCATGACCTTAGTGTGAGGTAAAATACATTAAATTAGCGTCAACGCGTTAGTCTGCTTGCGGCCATGTACGGAATCCTGGGCCAGCTGGCTTCCCTGTGCCACGTCACCGGTTTCTCAGGTCTCCTCATTCACTCAGACAAATACGTGCACACTGACTGTGTGTCAGACAGTGTGCCGGTCACTCGGACACCACAATCTGGTATAGGTTCAAAGAATGTAAATTTATCATTTTAACCTATGCAGAACAATTAGAAAGGCAGATTATTTTTCCAAAATGAGGTCCAAAGCAAACTATAAGGTGTTTCTATTGGTCATACCACACCAGAGACCGGTAAGTGCCTTTATAGACTGAGAACTAACGTGGAAGTTTCATGCTGTCGTCTAAATAGCCTAGGTCATTTTTGGTCTCATAGGTCTATTTTGTGGAGCACCTGACCCCATATAAATCATTCCATACTTAAATGGGTTTGTAAACTAAACCTGAACATAAACAAAGAGCCAAAAATGAAGGCAGTTTACAATGTAATGTTCTTCAACAGCATTACTCTCCCCATGAGAAATGAATAATACATAAGTAATTCACAATTGGTTCAACATTTTTTTTTCTTTTTTTTTTCCTTTTTTTTTTTTTTGAGACTGAGTCTTGCCCTGTCGCTCAGGCTGGAACGCAGTGGTGCGATCTCGGCTCACTGCAGCCTCCACCTCCCAGGTTGAAGCAATTCTCCTGCCTCAGCCTCCCGAGTAGCTGGGATTACAGGCGTGCACCACCACGCCGGGCTAATTTTTTATATCTTTAGCAGAGATGGGGTTTCACTATGTTGGCCAGGCTGGTCTCGAACTCCTGACCTCATGATCCACCCGCCTCGGCCTCCCAAAGTGCTGGGATTACAGACGTGAGCCACCGCGCCCAGCCGGTTCAACATTTTTTCAAAGCACTAACCCTACCCCAAATTCATGTAATACTAACTTGACTTTTATACAAGTTGCACAGAATGCAGAGGGCAGAATTTGACCCCAAAACCTTCCACAGAATATCAGAGGTGATTGGTCCTTCCACTCTTGAGTAGAACCTAAGAATTCCAAGAGTCTCCTAATAGGATACTGGCCCTCTGGAGAAATGGCCCTGCTGGATCCCATTAGTTAGGACTCTAGTTAGCTGCTGTAGAAGGGTGACCTACTACGACCCTTTTGGGGAAGGCAGAGAGCTGGGAGACTGGCTGTCCACTTAGTGAATCCAACACTGGCTTAAAGCTATGCACTGAATAAAGTGCTCGGTACATCCTGCTTTTCACCTGGAATGAAAATACACACTTATCTTAGGAATTCACCTACTTACAGGTTTGGGGGACAAGAATGTCAAGGGCTAAAAGAATCCCAAGAAAAAGTATGAAGCATTGACTAGGAGGGAACAAATGCTTCTAGTAGTGTTCTTAGAATTCTTAGGATCTGAAATGTCAGAATGAGTCACACGCTGGTCATGCTCCATACAATGAAAGCAATCCTGCTTGATACTATTCACACGGTGCATGATTACTTCACGGGGGTGGAACGGAACAGTCTGTCGCCATTTGATAGTATGGTTCCAGAATGAAAACAAAACCACTGAATAAATCAGGGTAAGCAGTGTGTAACACTCCTTCCTGTCCATCGGTTTTCCACAGGGTGATTTGCACTGCCTGAGAGAAAGGAGGCAAGATACCTATCCCTTCTGATACACACAGGCACGACCACTACCGCCTCCAATTGCCAATTCAGAAGCTAACACACAAGCCCTCCAGTTCGTACCCTGAATATGGTAATTAAGACTAGGAATGGAGCAGTTCAGTCTAAAAAATATCACAGGTAACAGAATGCTTATATAAACTAGACTGCTTTTGACATCTGTAAGAAAATTGTATAGATGGCAGTTGGAAAAAAAAAAAAAAGATTGTTCCCATCTGTCAGCAAAACTGTTGAACTATACTCAGCTGAAGTCCTCATCGGGATTCTGTTGATCCAGCAGACGGACATGTGTGAATGGGAAGTGACCTCGTTTGCCATTACACTCCCCTTCCCACTGACCACTCACATTAATCTTCGTAACCTTTACCAGCTCACCGACCTGCAGGAGGAGAATAAGGAGAGCACTTTATTTCCAGGTAGGAATGCAAGCTGAACAACTCCATTCTCTGGTTAGGCACACCCTGCCCATGTGACTGCTCTAGGGATATTACAGAAATGGCCATTTGCTGCCTCCCCAGCCCCAGCCACCAGACTGATTACTTGTGGTTAATGCAGGCAGAAGGAAAAGTGTTTTTAGCAGTGTGGAAAAACAGAGAATACAGAAAGTAAAAGGGATTCCAGATAATGATACTTTTTGATTAAAAAAGGAAAGTGATAATTATTGGAAATCTCAGCTGTCTCTGCATGAGCAATCCCAACTTCAGTGAGTTAGCTACTATTCCCTTTCTTTGTACTCACTACCCTCAGCTTTCTGCCTGCTCCGCAGGCCCTGTCCGAGGAGAAGCAGCTTTCTCCGTTTTTTTTTTTTTTTTTTTTTGAGACGGAGTCTCTGTCACCCAGGCTGGATGACAGTGGCGTGATCTCAGCTCACTGCAAGCTCTGCCTCCCAGGTTCGAGCAATTTTCCTGCCACAGCCTCCCGAGTAGCTGGGACTACAGGCGCCTGCCACCGTGCCCAGCTAATTTTTGTATTTTTAGTAGAGATGGAGTTTCACCATCTTGGCCAGGCTGGTCTCGAACTCCTGACCTTGTGATCCACCTGCCTTGGCCTCCCAAAGTGCTTGGATTACAGGCGTGAGCCACTGTGCCTGGCCGCCTTCTCCCCGCTTTAGCATATGGCAGCAGCACAATCCCCCAGCCCACTCGCACAAGACCTGGCCTGTTACTGCTTGCACAGCAGAAAGCGATCATGGCAAGCATAGGTCACTTGGTCCTAGAGAATCAAGTGTTCCTATCACCTCCTGACCCAGGCAAGCCTTTTCCCATATGGGCAGGTAGAGGCCAAAACTCCAGGTCCAATTAGCTCCCAGAAAACCCCCACCTCATTCAGTAAGCTCTACTTCACAAGCCACTGCCTGCCCAGCCCCCAAATCCCACCATCGGACAGACCTTGCTGCTCCCTCAAAGCCGCTTGTTACCTGATCATTACCCAATGAGGGGTCAAAAAAACCAACCATGGCCGGGCGCAGTGGCTGACGCCTGCAATCCCAGCACTTGGTGAGCCTGACACAGGTGGATGGATTGCTTCAGCTCAGGAGTTTTTGAGACCAGCCTGAGCAACATGGTGAAACCGTCTCTACAAAAAATACAAAAATTAGCTGGGTGTGGTGGTGGCTGCTCATAGAACCAGCTACTCGGGAGGCTGAGGTGGGTGGACTGCTTGAGCCCAGGAGGCAGAGGTTGCAGTGAGCCGAGATCACATCACTGCACTCCAGCCTGGGCAACAGAGCCAGATCCTGCCTCTAAAAACAAAAAAAAACCTTATGTTTTGGCATTTATTTATAAAATGTCTCTTGTTGCAAAATGAAATATAAAGGTTTTTTTTGTTTGTTTTTTTAAGACAGAGTCTCGATCTGTTGCCCAGGCTGGAGTGCAGTGGCGCTATCTCAGCTCACTGCAAGCTCTGCCTCCCGGGTTCACGCCATTCTCCTGCCTCAGCCTCCCTAGTAGCTGGGACTACAGCCGCCCGCCACCACGCCCAGCTAATTTTTTGTATTTTGTTTAGTAGAGATGGGGTTTCACCATGTTAGCCAAGATGGTCTCGATCTCCTGACCTCGTGATCCGCCCGCCTCGGCCTCCCAAAGTGCTATGATTACAGGTGTGAGCCACCACGCCTGGCCATCTTTTTATCTTTTGTTTTTGAGACAGGGTCTCACTCTGTCACTCAGGCTGGAGAGCACTGACACCATCATGGCTCACTGCAGCCTGTAACTCTTGGGCTCATGGGATCCTCCAACCTTAGCCTCCCGAGTAGCTGAGACTACAGGTGCACGCCACCATGCCCAGCTAATTACAGGCATGAGCCTCCACACCATTTATGCATTTCATACAGTATCAGGAACTTTCAAATTATGCATCTGGGCTTGTACTGGGTTCCCTAAAAATGTACGCAGGCACATCTACTGGCCAAAGCCAACGTAAGTCCAGCCGCAGGGCCTCTTCCAGGCCCAGCCTGACCTCACTTACAGATGGAACAGCTTGCCTATTGGCCCCTCTGTTGTTTCCTGAAGAACTCTCTAAAAATTACAGAGGCCTGAAGTCACTGTATGGGTCATAGGATGCTGAGAAAAGGAGGGACAGAAAGAAGGGGATAGAGAGACACATAAGACACAGAGGTTGAGAAAAAAATAGCAGCAGGCTTGGTGCAGTGGCTCATGCCTGTAATCCCAGCACTTTGGGAAACTGAGGTGGGGGGATGGCTTGAGCCCATGATTTTGAGAGCAGCCCTGGCAAAAGAGTGAGATCTTGTCTCTACAAAAAAATTTAAAAAGCCAAGTGTGGCCAAGCGTGGCCAAGCGTGCTGGTGTGCGCCTGTGGTCCCAGTTACTTGGGAGGCTGAGGTAGGAGGTCACCTGAGCCTCCTGGGAGGTCAAGGCTGCCCCCTAGCCTGGGCAACAAGACCCTGTCTGCAAAAAAAGAGAAAACCAAGCAGCTAACCCAGCCTGTGTCGTGACAATGCCGGCTGAGCACACGTGTGGAGGAAGGAGAGGAAGGGATGATGGCCCAGCCTGTGTCGTGACGATGCCAGCTGAGCACAAGTGTGGAGGAAGGGGAGGAAGGGATGATGGCATGCCTATCCTTACACACAGGTAACAATCCTCACAGGTTGCTGTCACCAGGACTCTCACCACACCTGGCCTGCCAGCAATTTTAGAATTCAACGTTTCTCACATCTGGGCAGGGTGCTGTGGGGCTCACGTCTTTAATCCCAGCACTTTGGGAGGCGAGGTAGGAGGATCACTTGAGCTCAGGAGTTCAAGACCAGCCTGGGCACCATAGTGAAACCTCATTTCTACAAAAAATAAAAAAATTGGCTGGGCGTGGTGGCGCACGCCTATAATCTCAGCACTTTGGGAGGTCGAGGTGAGTGAATCACGACGTCAGGAGTTCAAGACCAGCCTGGCCAAATTGGTGAAACCCCGTCTCTACTAAAATACAAAAATTAGCCAGGTGTGGTGGCAGGCGCCTGTAATCCCAGCTACTTGCGAGGCTGAGGCAGTGAACTGCTTGAACCTGGGAAGAGGAGGTTGCAGTGAGCCGAGACTGTGCCACTGCACTCCAGCCTGGCCAACAGAGTTACACTGTCTCAAAAAATAAAATAAATAAATAAATTAGCCAGGCATAGTAGTGTGCGCCTGTGGTCCCAGCTACTCAAGAGGCTGACATGGGAGGATCACTTGAGCCCGGGAGGCAGAGATTGCAGTGAGCCAAGATAGTACCAGTGCACTCCAGCCTGGGCGACAGAGCAAAACTGTCTCCAAAAAAAAAAAAAAAAAAAAAAAAAAAAAAAAAAAAAAAAAAGATTCTGACATGCCCCAGCCAGGCTAGGCAACAATAGCAAGACTGTGTCTCTTGAAAAAAAAAAAAAAATTAGTAAGGTATCATCGTATGCACCTGTAGTTCCAGTTACTCAGGAGGCTGAGGCAGGAGGATCACTTGAGCCTGGGAGTTTGAGCTGTAGCAAGCCAAGTGCACCACTGCACCCCACCCTGGTGGAGAGACCAAGATTCTGTCTCCAAAAAAAAAAAAAAAAGAATCTTGGCCGGGCGCGGTGGCTCACGCCTGTAATCCCAGCACTTTGGGAGGCTGAGGGCGGCAGATCATGAGGTCAGGAGATCCAGACCATCCTGGCTAACACGGTGAAACCCCGTCTCTACTAAAAATACAAAAAATTAGCCAGGCGTGCTGGCGGGCGCCTGTAGTCCCACCTACTCGGGAGGCTGAGGCAGGAGAATGGTGTGAACCCAGGAGGCGGAGCTTGCAGTGAGCCGAGATCACGCCACTGCACTCCAGCCTGGGTAACAGAGCGAGACTCAGTCTCAAATAAATAAATAAATACCTCAATGTTATATTGTCTTTATTCTTTTTGTTTGTTTGAGAGAGAGTCTCACTCTGTCACCCAGGCTGGAGTGCAGTGACGCTATCTTGGCTCACTGCAACCTCCACCTGCCAGGTTCAAACAATTCTCCTGCCTCAGGCTCTCAAGTAGCTGGGACGACAAGCACAAGCCACCATGCCCAGCCAGTACTTTTTTCGTATTTTTAGTAGAGACGGGGTCTCACCATGCTGGGCAGGCTTGTCTCGAACTCCTGACCTCATGACCCGCCCACCTCGGCTTCCCAAAGTGCTGGAATTACAGGCATCAGCCACCGCGCCCAGCCTATATTGTCTTTATTCTTAAGCATTCATACTGCAGTCTCAAATCACATCCCACAAAGCTCTAAGAGGTGAAGGGTAGGTTGAAAAGTGGACCAGCCCCACCCCTTGCTGTTAACACAGAACCATACCAATTTCTCAAAATGTGGGGCAAAACCTGCTAATGTGCCTCCAGATCTTTTCTTTCAGACTTTTTTTTTTTTTTTTTTAATGGAGTTTTTGCTCTTGTCACCCAGGCTGGAGTGCAGTGGTACGATGCTGGCTCACTGCAACCTCCGCCTCCAGGATTCAAATGATTCTCCTGCCTCAGCCTCCAGAGTAGCTGGGACTACAGGCGCCCGCCACCACGCCCAGCTGATTTTTGTATTTTTAGTAGAGATGGGGTTTCACCATGGTGGGCAGGATGGTCTCGATCTCCTGACTTCATGATCTGCCTACCTCGGCCTCCCAATGTGCTGGGATTACAGGTGTGAGCCACCGTGCCAGCCCTTCTTTCAGACTTCTAAGGGATAAATGAGTAGGGATTTCTATGAGGCAAGATGTTATTGGGGAAAGGAACTATGTGTAAATTAGACCTTTGGACCATATCAGATCTTTTTTTTTTTTTTTTTTTTGAGACAGCGTCTCACTCTGTTGCCCTGGCTAGAGTACAGTGGCATGATCTCAGCTCACTGCAACCTCTGCCTCCCAGGTTCAAGTGATTCTCCTGCCTCAGCCTCCTGAGTAGCTGGGACTACAGGCATGTGCCACCACGCCCTGCTAATTTTTGTATTTATAGTAGAGATGGGGTTTCACCATATTGGCCAGGCTGGTCTTGAACTCCTGACCTCGTGATCTGCTCACCTCAGCCTCCCAAAGTGCTGGGATTACAGGCGTGAGCCACCACGCCCGGCTCAGAACTATCTTTAATGTACAGATTCTCTCTCTTTTTTTTTTAGATGGAGCCTCACTCTTGTCACCCAGGCTGGAGTCCAGTGGCGCAATCTCAGCTCACTGCAACCTCCGCCTCCTGGGTTCAAGCGATTCTCCTGCCTCAGCCTCCTGAGTAGCTGGGATTACTGGCGCACGCCACCACGTCCGGCTAATTTTTTCGCATTTTTAGTAGAGATGGGGTTTCACCATGTTGGCCAGGCTGGTCTCCAACTCCTGACCTCAGGTGATCCGCCCACCTTGGCCTCCCAAAGTGCTGGGATTACAGGTGTGAGCCACCGTGCCCAGCCAGATTCTCTTGGATCTACCCTGCAGAGGAAAACCATGCCAAAATCTAAAACTTTTTTTTTTACACCGGGTACGCTGGCCTGCACCTGTAGTCCCAGCTACTTGGGAGACTGAGGGGAGAGGAACCCTTGAGTCCAGGGTTTTTTTTTCTTTTTGAGACACTGTATTGATCTCTCACCCAGGCTGGAGTGCAGTGGCACAATCTTGTCTCATTGCAAACTCCGCCTCCTGGAGTCTTGTGCCTTAGGCTCCCAAGGACCTGGGATTATAGGCGCCCGCCACCATGCTCAGTTAATTTTTGTATTTTTAGTGGAGACCAGGTTTCACCACATTGGACAGTCTGGTATGCAACTCCTGACTTCAAGTGATTTGCCCAACTCGGCCTCCCAAAGTGCTGGGATTATAGGCATGGGCCACCTTGCCCAGCTGAGCCCAGGAGTTTGAGGCCTTCCTCAGCAGCACAGTGAAACTCTGTCTCTCTTAAAAAAAAAAAAAAGAGGCCAGACGCAGTGGCTCACACCTATAATCCCAGTGCTTTGTGAGGCCCGAGCAGGAGGAAGATTGCCTGAAGCCAGGAGTTCAAGATCAGTCTAGGTTACAAAGCAAGACTCCATTTCTACAAAATTAAAAGTACAACATTAGCCAGGTACAGTGGAATGTGCCTGTAGTCCCAGCTACTTGGGAGGCTGAGGTAGGGGGATCACAAGCCCAGGAGTTTGGGGCTGCAGTGAGCTACAACTGGGCACCCTTGCTTGGGGAACAGAGCAAAGCCTGATCTCAAAAAAAAAAAAGAGAAAAACAACCAAAAACACGAATCTTTTCTTTACAGATGATTAGGTTTTTGGCAGACAGGTTCAAATATACGGAGATGAGATAATGGCTATGCCATAACTCAAATGATTTTTTTTTTTTTTTAAAGACAGAGTTTCGCTTTTGTTGCCCAGGCTGGAGTGCAGTGGCACAATCTCAGCTCACTGCAACCTCCACCTCCCGGGTTCAAGTGATTCTCCTGCCTCAGCCTCCCACGTAGTTGGGATTACAGGCGTGTGCCCCCACGCCTGGCTAATTTTGTCTTTTTCATAGAAATGGAGTTTCAAAATGTTAGTCAGGCTGGTCTCGAATTCCTGACCTCAGGTGAAGAGTTCACCCACCTCGACCTCCCAAAGTGCTGGGATTACAGGCGTGAACCACTGTACCTGGGCTCATTCTGATTATTAGTATTATTTTTTGAGACAGAGTCTCGCTCTGTCGCCCAGGCTGGAGTGCAGTGGCGCGATCTTGGCTCACTGCAAGCTCCGCCTCCCGGGTTCACGCCATTCTCCTGCCTCAGCCTCCCGAGTACCTGGGACTACAGATGCCCGCCACCACGTCCGGCTAATTTTTTGTATTTTTTTTTTTTTTAGTAGAGATGGGATTTCACAGTATTAGCCAGGATGGTCTCCATTTCCTGACCTCGTGATCCGCCCGCCTTGGCCTCCCAAAGTGCTGGGATTACAGGCGTGAGCCACCACACCCAGCCTGATTCTGATTTTTAAACGGATAAAGAAAATTTGTAAGCAATCAATTGGGCTAATTAACCTGACCAACGTGGCTTTGAAGTAAAAATACCTCAAGGAAGACCTTGTTAAAATTAACCCTATGGCCGGGCGCTGTGGCTCATGCCTGTAATCCCAGCACTTTGGGAGGCCGAGGTGGGTGGATCACGAGGTCAGCAGATCGAGACCATCCTGGCTAACACGGTGAAACCCCGTCTCTACTAAAAATACAAAAAAATTAACCGGGCGTGGTAGCAGGCGCCTGTAGTCCCAGCTGCTAGGGAGGCTGAGGCAGGAGAATAGCGTGAACCCTGGAGGCGGAGCTCGCAGTGAGCCGAGATCACGCACTGCACTCCAGCCTGGGCGACAGAGTGAGACTCCGTCTCAAAACAAACAAACAAACAAACAAACAAATTAACCCTTTGTGCTTTTTGGGGCCTTTCTCCTGAAACGTTTAGAGCACATGAAAATGCTCCTGAGGTCCCAAAGGCACTATGATGATATTTAGAGACCAGGTCTTCCTGTGGTGCCACATGTGGCCTTAGGTCTTTAACAGTCTGGAGGAAGGAGTGGCTGCTGACTCTGGCTGGAGGAGGGCAGAGGAAGAAGGCCGGAGGGGGTGGGGCATTCTAAGAACATTTTGCTCCAGTAAATGCAGTTCTTCCTCCAATTCAGAAACAAAGTCAGAACTGTGCTTCCACCTGTTAATTCACTAAAGCATAATTCCCAAAGATCAGATCAGGGAAGGTGAGGGGTATCATACCGGGGCGGTGGCTCACGCCTGTAATCTCAGCACTTTGGGAGGCAGAGGGGAGTGGGTCACGAGGTCAGGAGATCGAGACCATCCTGGCTAACACAGTGAAACCCCATCTCTACTAAAAATACAAAAGAAAAAAAAAAGAAACTTGGTGTACTAGTTTTTTTTGAGGCAGAGTCTCACTCTGTCGCCTAGCCTGGACTGCAGTAGCGCAATCATAGCTCACTCCAGCCTTGACCTCCCAGGCTGAAGCCATCCTCCCATCTCAGTCACTAGAGTATCTGGGACTACAGGCATGTGCACCACACTTGGCTAATTCTTGTAATGATGGGTTTCACCATGTTGACCAGACTAGGGTGTACTACTTCAAATACAAAGGTGAAACCGAGTGCTTGCCCCAGAACTGTTACAATCTGACAATACAAAGGAATGTACTAATCAGTGAATGTAGTAATAACAGTAGTTCTAACACTACTGATTTCAAAATTCAAGTTATAAATAGGAAAGAAAAATCCTAATATGAATTACCAATGAACAACAAAGACTTCATACAGGACTTGAAGTACTACAAGGTAGTTAACCTTTCTTTCCAAGAGGGAGACCTCACTACAGCAAAGAGACTGATGAGTCTCACCACAGAGGAACTGTTTTACTGTCCAGGCTGGTCCTCAGCCTCCTCATCCTGTAACACATTCTTAGGAGCTTCTTACAGCTCTGTGGGATGGGATTTGAGACTGCACTCTGAATGTTTAAGAATAAAGACAACATAGGCCAGGCGGGGTGGCTCATGCCTATAATCCCAGCACTTTGGGAGGCTGAGGCAGGCGGATCGCTTGAGGCCAGGAGTTTGAGACTAGCCTGGCCAATGTGGCGAAATCCCATCTCTACTAAAAATAAAAAAATTAGCCAGGCGTGGTGGTGGATGCCTGTAATCCCAGCTACCCGGGAGGTTGAGGCACGAGAATCACTTGAACCCAGGAGGCAGAGTGAGATCACGCCACTGTACTCCAGCCTGGGTGACAGAGTGAGACCTTGTCTTAAAAAAAAAAAAAAAAAAAGGCCAGGCGCGGTGGCTCACGCCTGTAATCCCAGCACTTTGGGAGGCGAAGGCAGGTGGATCACGAGGTCAGGAGGTCGAGACCATCCTGGCTAACACGGTGAAACCTCATCTCTACTAAAAATATAAAAAATTAGCCAGGCGTGGTGGCGGGCGCCTGTAGTCCCAGCTACTTGGGGGGCTGAGGCAGGAGAATGGCATGAGCCCAGGAGGCGGAGCTTGCAGTGCGCCGAGATCACGCCACTGCACTCCAGCCTGGGCAACAAAGCGAGACTCCGTCTCAAAAAAAAAAAAAAAAGAAAAGAAGAACAAAGACAATATAAGATTGAGGTATTTAAACAGAGTTTGCTATCAAGTAGAATGGTGGACTTAAGACTATATCCTAAAGAACCACAATCCACAAAACACCTAGAAAAGTTGACTAAAATATAACAAGCATCCTTTCATCTTCACTTTTTTAGGAAGCAAGTCCCGGCTGTATCATGGAGTCATTCATAAAGAAGACTGAATGTGGTTACTACAGTTTCTTTGCTCCCAAGGAACGTAACAAACACTGGCTATTCCCTAGCTCTGTGTCGTTTTCAAGGCTAATCGATCCTGGTGCAATCAGATCTAGAATTGGTACAGGAACAAAAGATTACCCAGCTGATCAATGCGTTCCAGAGATAATGAGAACAAAATCAGAACCCAAATGGTATCAATGTTTGGAATTCACTACACAGGGGACATCACAGAACTGGTTTTCTTTGCTGGCGCAAACCCAGGTGACTGCTTTTCTAGGTCCCTACTACCAACCAGCAGCACATCACTGACTGCTAACATGCCTTGATCCAGACTTGCTTTCAGTGAGCTCAGGGCAGGAAGCACACACAAATTCATACACACAAAACCAGGGAAGAGCAAGTACAGAGAGGCAGCACAGGAGCCTTCTCTTCCAACCTCCTAGGCTCAAGCAGTTTTCCTACCTCAGCCTCCCAAGCAGCTGAGACCACAGGTGCACACCACCACGCCTGGCTTTTTTTTTTTTTTTTTTTTTTTTTTGAGATGGAGTTTCACTCTTGTTGCCCAGGCTGAAGTGCTATGGCACGATCTCAGCTCACTGAAATCTCTGCCTCCCGGGTTCAAGTGATTCTCCTGTCTTAGCCTCCCGAGTAGCTGGAATTACAGGCGCCCACCACCACGCCTGGCTAATTTTTGTATTTTTAGTACAGACAGGGTTTCATCATATCGGTCAGGCTGGTCTCAAACTCCTGATCTCAGGTGATCTGCCTGCCTCAGCCTTCCAAAGTGCTGAGATTACAGGCGTGAGCCACCGCACCCAGCATGTATGGTTTTTTTTTTTTTTTTTTTTTTAGATCACCTGGCTAATTTTTAAAAACATTTTTTGTAGAGACCGGATCTCACCATGTTGCCCAGGCTGGTTTCAAACACCTGGACTCAAGCGATCCTCCCACCTCAGCCTCCGAAAGTGCTGGGATTACAGGCGTAAGTCACAGCACCTGGCCAAACATCAGCCTGTTGTTTTTGCAGCTTTATTGGAACACAGCAAGCTCATCTGTTGTTTTATCTATGATTTCCTTCTTGCTACAATGGCAGAGTTGGGACACAGAATTTAAGGCCCTCAAAAACCTTTACAGAAAAGGTTTGCAGACCCCTGATCTAAGTAACAGGTAGTGTATCTAGGGCCCATCGACAGTCTTTCAAATTGATGGAAACAAATGAGGACAATTCAGCCTTAACAATTCACCTGCATCAGAGATGGACTGAAACTGGCATGGGTAGTATTGGTGGAAAGCTGCCAGTGTTTGAGATTTAACAGTCCACATGAACAGAAAAAACATCCCACAGAATCCTGGGAGATAGGCCTTACCCTGGTTCTGGTGTGAGTCACAAAGATCTCTAGCTCAACTGATAATGCCTGAAGCTAAGCTCCCCATACCCTTGATGAGCGGTGACCACACATAGTACATATGTTTTAGCTCAACATAAAGACATTTCTAGAAATTGGCCAGGCACGACAGCTCACACCTGTAATCCCAGCACTTTGGGAGGCTGAGGCGGGTGGATCACCTGAGGTCAGGAGTTTGAGACCAGCCTGGCCAACAAGGTGAAACCCTGTCTCTACTAAAAATACAAAAATTAGCCAGGCACAATGGGGTATGCCTGTAATCCCAACTACTCAGGAGACTGAGGCAGGGGAATCACTTGAACCTGGGAGGCGGAGGTTGCAGTGAGCCGAGATCGTGCCATTGCACCCCAGCCTGGGCGATGGAGTGAGATTTCGTCTCAAAAAGAACCAAAAAAAAAAAAAAAAATCCAAAAAAACCCAATACCCAAATCAAAAAGGAAAACTTACTAAAATCATAAAACTAGTTTTCTACTCAAATCTTTATTTAATGAGATTTGTGTTTCACAGCAGGTAGAGAAGCTCAACCATTTTTTTGAGCAGTAAAGCCTCTAATTAAGGCAGGCATGATTAAATCTCTGAGAAAGGAAATGCAAATAGAAGCAAAATTCACATGATAACTGGTTTCTCCTGGGTCAGCTGGCTTGTTCCATGGCTTTTTTTCTTTTTCTTTTTTTGAGACAGAGTCTCACCCTGTCGCCCAGGCTGGAGTGCAGTGTCATGATCTCAGCTCACTTCAGCCATGACCTTTCAGGCTCAGGTGATCCTCCCTCCTCAGCCTCCCAAGTAGCTGGGACCACAGGCACGTGCCACCATGCCCAGCTAATTTTTTGTAGAGATGGTGTTTTGCCATGTTGCCTAGGCCGGTCTCCAACTCCTGAGCTCAAGTGATCTGCCCACCTCGGCCTCCCAAGGTGCTGGGATTACAGGTATGAGCCACACGCCCAGCCTTTGTTCCATGTTTTCATACTTACTTCAACCCAGTGCTAATAAAGTCTGTAATAAATGTCAAGAGTTACATCTAGTGACTCAGTAAGGCCAGATAAAAATAAAAAAAAGCAGAGAGGAAAAAAAAAAAAGAAAATAAAAAGGAGTAAGATCCATCATACACACAGCACCATGCCAGATGTTACCGTCATCTGAACTCACAGGAAGACCTGAGGGTAGAAATCTATTTTCCTCCAAACAGGGAATGGGAACAAGAGGCAGTGATAACTCTGACAACATACATTCCATTTCTCATTCAAGCCAGGACTGCAGGTGCATGCCACCACGCCTGGTGATTTTTTTTTTTCACTTTTTGTTAAAAAAAGCTGAGGTCTATGTTTCCCAGACTGGTCTTGAACACCTGGTCTCAAGTGGTCTTCCTGCCTTAGCCTCCCAGAGCACTAGGATTACAAGTGTGAGCCACTGTGCCCAGTCTGTACTAGCTTTTACACTGAACCATCAATTCTTCTGAAAAGAAAGGAAGGGAGAGAGGGAGGAAGGAAGAAGAAAGGAAGGAGGTAGGAGAGCAAGGTGTGAGCGTGGAAGAGAGGAATAAAGGAATTAACACCATGTAATGGCTGGCCAGAAGGAAGTGGGCTGCCAAAGATATTTCATCAGTAAAGGCAAAAATTAATTCCTGAGGAAGAACTGGCTTTTTGAATGATTTAGAAAGACCCGTGCACCTGCCACTCCTCGGAATGAGGACTTCTGGGTGTGCATCTCTTCAAACCTCTACTAGGCCTATTTCCTCCCGGATTCTACTCAATGAACATTAGTGGTAAGGAACTTCAAGTCCCCTGAAGCAAAAACAAGTTTTTGCGGGAAAATTCCATTTAAGTGCTTTGATAGAGACCACTTATTACACTCAAATCCATCTGAACCCACCTTCTTTTAGACAACGACAAACAGAAAGCAAGAAACAGATGAGGATGTAGATGAGGAAAAACATTTGAGGTTAATTCCTGTGAATTCAGGTGGTGTTATTAAAGTAGTCCAAGTGTGTTTAGTAGATCAATTAAGAACATTCAGTTATACAGTTTTAAGCTTACTCATTCCCAAACAGGTTTTCTATGAAGAAGAGAAAACCCAACATTCAATGCCAACATCAGTGCTTAGCGGCTTGCCATCTACAACATCCCAATGCTGTAGTCAGCATTGCTACAAAGCTCTAAGAGGACCGAGAGGAGACCCTGCAGCAGATCTCTTCTTTCTACATTGTGCACGTTATGTACCTCCAAAGCCAAGGCTGTCTTGTCGTAGGCATTGGGGACTCGCTTCTGGATAACCCTGGCATATATGGGCCCATTCTGGAGGTTAGGGAGCGGAGTGTTGACGCTGGGTTGGGCATAGGGCCCAGGCTCCGGCCCACCCAGTGGCTGTGGGTGGGAACCCTCCTGGTTACCTCCAATCAGAGCCGATACTGAGGCGGAGGCAGGTCTATACTTCTCGACGTAAGGGACTGGAATCATCCCTCTCTTGCCTTCGCTGTCCTCCGCATTCCACCACTGCTCTTCAGGCTTGTCCCGGATTCTCAAGATGTCTCCTTTCTTAAAGGGAAGATCTTCCTCATCATTCCCATTAAAGTCAAAGAGGGCTCGCACATACTCCGCCTCCTCCTGCCTGAGAATCACTCCACTACCCTGCCTGGATCTGGAAACTGGTTCTATCAACGTTGTAGTGTCCAAATAGTGTATTTTGTAGAATTCCAGTAAAGCAGGCAATGAATCAAACTCTTGATCTCCTATTCGGAGTCTGGAGGGGCTCACCCCTGGAAAAAACAGAGCAGGCTGTTATTTAATGATGTACTACACTGGAAATGAAATGCAGATTTTATTTTTATTTTTTTTAGAGTTGGGATCTCACTATGTTACCCAGGCTGGTCTTGACCTCCGGGGCTCAAGTGATCCTCTCACCACAAACTCCTGAGTAGCTGGGACTACAGGAGCCCACCACTGTGCCTGGCCGAAATGGAGCTTTCATGCATGCCTCATACACATTTAGTCAAGATTTAATCAGCAAAAAAAACTCTAGAAAAAATAACCCCTTCTCTTCACAGCACACCAACATCACATTTGGAAGCTGAAACATCCCCTGGGAAGAAAGATGCCCATCACTACAGCCCCAGGGAAGGATGAGGAGGCCAGGAGACTAGGCTGATCAGGACGTGCTCTCATACTTGATCAACGACGGGGGCTTTCACTGCATTCTCCAAATATGTTCTGTCGCTACCCCATTTACAGAGCAGTGTAAGCCTCAAGGTTCTGTTGCATGTTTTTTTTTTTTTGAGACCAAATCTCACTGTGTCGCCCAGGCTGGAGTGTAGTGGCGTGATCTCTGCTCACTGCAACCTCTGCCTCCCGGGTTCAAGCGATTCTCCCGTCTCAGCCTCCTGAGTAGCTAGGATTACAGGCTCCCACCACCATGACAAGCTAATTTTTTTTTTTTTTTTTGTATTTTTAGTAGAGACGGGGTTTCACCATGTTGGCCAGGCTGGTCTCAAACTCCTGATCTCAGGTGATCCACCCACCTCAGCCTCCCAAAGTGCTGGGATTACAGGTGTGAGCTACTGCGCCTGGCCTGCATCTACTTTTCAACCTCAGGAAATGTAGCAAGCTCTTGTTTTTCATGGGTCCCTGCTGCTGTTCAGAAGGTGGAGAGAGCTTGTGTCTGCACTGAGCTCACACATTTTTTCTCTTCACATCTAGAATGTATAATTCCGAAGAAGAAAAACTATCTCTTGTTGTGGTTTTCGTTGTTTTTGGGACAGAGTCTCGCTGTGTCGCTCAAGCTGGAGTGCAGTGGCACAATCACAGCTTACTGCAGCCTTGACCTCCCAGGCTCAAGTAATCCTCCCACTTCAGCCTCCTGAGCAGCTGGGACTACAGGCACGCTCAACCATATCTGGGTAATTTTTAAATATTTTGTAGAGATGGGGTTTCACTATGTTGCCCAGGCTAGTCTCAAACACCTGGGCTCAAGCAATCCTTCGGCCTCAACCTTCCAAAGTGTTGGGATTACAGGGATGAGCCACAGTGCCTGGCCTCTGGTATCTTTTTAAATCTAAGATAGGTGATCTCAATTTTATCTTTGACAGCTAAAAGGTAAAAGAACCAAGAAGCTGAACTGAAAAACTAAGGGGCTAACTGCTTAAAAATCAATTCCCGAGATCGTAAATAAAACAGAAACTAGACTGTTCGCTATGAAGCAAACAGGTCATTAAAAAAAAAATGCTTGGGGAAATAAAGGGTTAAAACACTCAACATCTGATAACACACTGAGGATCCAGAGAAAGAACATATTACAAACGCTTAAAATTCCTAAGACACGAGTGTGTATGGTGGCCCTACATACCATAGTTCAGAATGGATTTATTCTATGCTGAGATTCTAAAACTCAAGGAAAATAAATGAACACAGTCAAACAAAACGAGTAAATTCAAACAAGAGTCAAAGTTTCTTTAAAAAAAAAAAAATGAGTCAGGGTTTTGCTGTGTCACGCAGGCTGGAGTGCAGTGGCATGATCATAGCTAACTGCAGCCTCAGCCTCAAGCAAGCCTCCCACCCAGCCTCACGAATAGCTTCAAATACAGGCACACGCCACCACGCCCGGCTAATTTTTGTATTTTTTGTAGAGATGGGGTTTCACCACGTTGCCCAGACTGGTGAACTCCCGGGATTGTTAGGATTTCGGCTTCCCCAAGTTTTGGGATCATAGGTGTGGGACACCACGACGGAGTCTCGCTCTGTCCCCCAGGCTGGCGTGCAGTGGCACAATCTCGACTCAGTGCAAGCTTCGCCTCCCGGGTTCACGTCATTCTCCTGCCTCAGCCTCCCGAGTAGCTGGGACTACAGGCACCCGCCACCATGCCTGGCTAATTTTTTTTGTATTTTTAATAGAGACGGGGTTTTACCGTGTTAGCCAGGATGGTCTCGATCTCCTGACCTAGTGATCCACCCGCCTCGGCCTCCCAAAGTGCTGGGATTGATTACAGGTGTGGGCCACTGCACCCGGCCACAAAGTTTCTAATTAGGAATGCAAACCTTTAACTCCCACTCGGCTAAGCACCCAAAACAGCAAACTATTTTCATTGGATTTTTCACATTATGGTTTCCTGAAGAAGTAATAAACAACTCTCTAATAATAACAACTAGTAAACATTCTCCATAGAGAATGAGTTTTAGCTGGGCACGGTTGCTCACATCTCTAACCCCAGCACTTAGGGAAGCTGAGGCAGGTGGATCCCTGGAGCTCAGGAGTTCAAGACCAACCCGGGCAACATGGCTGTCACTGCAAAAAACTTAAAAAATTAGCTGGGCATGGTGGCACACTTTTGTAGTCCCAGCTACTCAGGACACTCAGGTAGGGGGATGGCTTGAGCCTGGAAGGTCAAGGCTACAGTGAGCCATGATCACGCCACTGCACTCCAGCCTGGGCAACAGAGCAAGACTCTGTGTCAAACAAACAAAAAAAAGAAAATGAATTTTGTTGGGCGTGGTGCCTCACACCTGTAATCCTAGAACTTTAGGAGGCTGAGGTGGGAGGATCACTTAAGTGCAGGATTTTGAGACCAGCGTAGGCAACACAGCCAAGACCTCATCACTACAAAAATTATTTAAAAATTAGCCAGGTTGGACAGGCGCGGTGGCTCACGCCTGTAATCCCAGCACTTTGGGAGGCTGAGGCAGGTGGATCACAAGGTCAGGAGATCAAGACCATCCTGGCTAACACGGTGAAACCCCGTCTCTACTAAAAATACAAAAAATTAGCTGGGCGTGGTGGTGGGCACCTGTAGTCCCAGCTGCTAGGGAGGCTGAGGCAGGAGAATGGCATGAACCCAGGAGGCAGAGCTTGCGGTGAGCCGAGATCGCGCCACTGCACTCCAGCCTGGGCGACAGAGCGGGACTCTGTCTCAAAAAAAAAAAAAAAATTAGCCAGGCATAGTGGTGCATGCCTGCAGTTGCAGCTACTTGGGAGGCTGAGGTGAGAGATCGCTTGAGCCTAGGAGTTTGTGAGTACACTGAGCCATGATCGTGTCAACGCACTCCAGCCTGGGGGACCGAGCAAGACCTTGACTCTTAAAAAAAGAAAAAATAAATGTTTGAAAAAAAATGACTGGGCACAGTGGTTTACGTCTGTAATCCCAGCACTTTGGGAGGCCAAGGCAGGAGGACTGATTGAGGCCAGTAGTTCAAGACCAGCCTGGGCAATAAAGTGAGACCCAATCTCCTAAAAAAACAAAAAACAAGCCGGGCACGTGGCTCACACCTGTAATCCCAGCACTTTGGGAGGCCGAGGCGGGTGGATCATGAGGACAGGAGAGCGAGACTTCGTCTCAAAAACAAACAAACAAACAAACAAAAAAACCATTAGCCAGGCAAGGTGGTGCATGTCTGTTAGTCCCAGCTTCTCGAGAAGCTGAGGTGGGAGAATCGCCTGAGCCCAGGGAGTCAAGGCTACCGTGAGTCGTGATCATGCCACTGCATTCCAGCCTGGGCAAAAGAGAGAGACCTTGTCTCAAAAAACCTAAAATCCAAATGAGTTTTGTGAGTTTTTGGCTTTGTTGTTGTCTTGTGACAGAGTGGTCTGGCTCTGTCACCCAGGCGGGAGTGCAGACCTCAGCTGAGTGCAACCTCTACCTCCCAGGCTGAAGCCATCCTCTTACCTCAGCCTCCTGAGTAGCTGGGCCTACAGGCACGCATCACCACGCCCAACTAATTTTTTGTAGTAATGGGATTTCGCCATGTTGCCCAAGCCAGTCTCGAATTCCTGAGCTCAAGTTATCCATCTGCCTTGGCCTCCCAAAGTGCTAGTATTACAGGCGTGAGCCACCACGCCTGGCCTTGGCTTTGTTTTTTGAGACAGGAGACTCCCTATGTGGCCCAGGCTCATCTTAAACTCCTGGGTCCAGCGATCCTCTCACCTTAGTCTCCTGAGTACATGATTTTGTTATTTCTTTTTAGAGACAGGGTCTAACTCTGTTGTCCAAGCTGGAGTGCAGTAGTGTGATCACAGCTCACCGCAGTCTCAAACTCCTGGGCTCAAGATATTCTCCCACCTCAGCCTTCTGAGTAGCTGGGACTAAAGGTGCGGGTGGCATTGCACCCAGCTGATTTTTTTTTTTGAGATGGAGTCACATTCTTGTCACCCAGGCTGGAGTGCACTGGAGCCATCTTGGCTCACGGCAACCTCCACCTCCCGGGTTCAAGCAACTCTCCTGCCTCAGCCTCCCGAGTAGCTGGGACTACAGGCCCGCGCCACCACACCCGGCTAATTTTTGTATTTTTAGTAGAGACAAGGTTTCACCATCTTGGCCAGGCTGGTCTACAACTCCTGACCTCGTGATCCATCCACCTCGGCCTCCCAAAGTGCTGGGATTACAGGCGTGAGCCACTGTGCCCGGCCCTTCACCCAGCTGATTTTGAAATTTTTTTTATAGAGACAGTGTCTTGCTTTACTGCCCAGGCTGCGGTTTTGTTTTTGTTTTCTGAGATAGGGTCTGGCTCTGTGGCCCAGGCTGGAGTGCAGTGGCATGATCTTGGCTCACTGAAACCTCCACTTCCTGGGCTCAAGCCATTCTTTCACCTCAGCCTCCCAAGTCGCTGGGACTACAGGCATGCACTACCATGCCTGTATTTTTTTTTGTATTTTTTGTAGAGACAGGGTTTCACCATGTTGCCCAGGCTGGTCTTGAACTCCTGAGCTCCAGAGATCCACTTGCCTCTGCCTCCGAAAGTGCTGGGTTTAGAGGTGTGAGCCAGGGCGCCCGGCCTGTTTTTTTTTTTTTTGAGACAGGGTCTTGTTCTGTCACCCAGGCAGGGGTGCAGTGGCATAATCTCAGCTCACTGCAGCCTCCACTTCCTAGGCTCTAGTAATCCTCCCACCTCAGCCTCCTGAGCAACTGGGACTATAGGCGCACACCACACCTGGCCAGTTTTTGTATTTTTTGTGGAGATGGGGTTTTGCTATGTTGCCCACGCTGGTCTCAAACTCCTGGGCTCAAGTGATCGGCCCACCTTGGCCTCCCAGAGTACTGAGATTGCAGATGTGCACCACTGCAGTACTGAGATTGCAGATGTGAGCCAGTGCCGTACTGAGATTACAGATGTGAGCCACTGCATCCAGCCTATTATTAATTTTAATTATATGTGAGCCACTGCATCCAGCCATTATTAATTTTAATTATTTGCTTATTGGGATTTTTCTTGTGTGTGAAAGGGTCTTTTTTTTTTTTTTTTTTGAAGACAGAGTCTTGCTCTGTCTCCCAAGCTGGAGTGCAGTGGCTGGATGTCGGCTCACTGCAACCTCCACCCTCTGTGTTCAAGCAATTCTTCTGCCTCAGCGCCCCAAGTAGCTGGGATACAGGTGTGTGCCACCATGCCTGGCTAATTTTTGTAATTTCAGTAGAGACACAGTTTCACCATGTTGGCCTGGCTGGTCTCAAACTCCTGACCTCAAGTGATCTGACCGCCTTGGCCTCCAAAAGTGCTGGGATGACAGGCGTGAGCCACTGTGCCTGGTATGTGACAGGGTCTCACTCTGCTGTCCAGGCTGGAGTGCAGTGGCGCAAACTCAGCTCACAGCAACCTCCCTTTCTTTCTTTTTTTTTTTTGAGACGGACTCTTGCTCTGTTGCCCAGGCTGGAGTGCAGTGGTGCGATCCTGGCTCACTGCAACCTCTCTCTCCTGGGTTCAAGTGATTCTCTTGCCTCAGCTTCCCAAGTAACTGAGATTACAGGCGGCCACCACGACACCAAGGTAATTTTTTATATTTTTAGTAGAGATGGGGGTTTCACCACGTTGGCAAGGCTGGTCTCGAACTCCTGACCTCAGGTGATCCCACCGACTTCAGCCTCTCAAAGTGTTGGGATTACAGGTGTGAGCCACTGCACCCGGCCGCAGCCTCCACTTTCTAGGCTTAAGCAATTCTACAGTCTCAGCCTCCCAAATAGCTGGGACTATAGGCACAAGCCACCCACCAACACACAGCTAATTTTTGTATTTTTTATTTTTACTTTATTATCATTTTTTTGAGACAGAGTCTCACTGTTGCCCAGGATGGAGGGCAGTGGTGCAATCTTGGCTCACTGCAAGCTCTGCCTCCCAGGTTCACGCCATTCTCCTGCCTCAGCCTCCCAAGTAGCTGGGACTACAGGCGCCCGCCACCACGCCCGGCTAATTTTTTTTTGTATTTTTTAGTAGAGACGGGGTTTCACCATGTTAGCCAGGATGGTTTCGATCTCCTGACCTCGTGATCCACCCACCTCGGCCTCCTAAAGTGCTGGAATTACAGGCGTGAGCCACCGCGCCCAGCCCCACTTTTTTTTATTTTTTGAGATGGAGTCTCTTTCTGTTGCCCAGGCTGGAGTGCAGTGGCAGGATCTCGGCTCAATGCAACCTCTGCCTCCTGGGTTCATGCAATTCTCCTGCCTCAGCCTCCCAAGTAGCTGGGATTATAGGCACCCGCCACCACGCCCGGCTAATTTTTTTGTATTTTTAGTAGAGATGGAGTTTCACCATATTGGCCAGGCTGGTCTTGAACTCCTGACCTTGTGATCCGCCCGCCTCGGCCTCCCAAAGTGCTGGGATTACAGGCGTGAGCCACCCCGCCTGGCCTATTTTTTTTTTTTAATAACGGGGTTTTGCCATGTCGCCCAGGCAGGTCTTGATCTCCTGAGCTCAAAGTAATCCTCTTCCCCCTTGGCCTCCCAAAGTGTTGGGATTATAGGCATGAGCCACCGTGCCTGGTCTTGTTAATTTTGAGAGCAGGTTTTTGCTGCCCAAGCTAAACTGCAGTAGCTATGCACAGACACCATCACTGCACACTGTGGCCTTGTACTCCTGGCCTGGAGTCATCCTCCTGCCTCAGACTCCTGGGTAGCTGGGACCATAGGTGTGCACCACCACGCCCAGCTAAAGACCTAATTATTTCGTTCAATGTTAGAAACATCCTGGCTAACACACAGTAAGAACCCATCTCTACCGAAAAAAATACAAACGCCAGGCAGGGTGGTGCGCGCCTTTAGTCCCAGCTACTTCGGAGGCTGAGGTGGATTGCTTGAACCTGGGAGGCGGAGCCTGCAGTGAGTCAAGACTGCGCCACTGCCCTCCAGCCTGGGTAACAGAGGGAGAGCCTGTCTCAATTAAAAAAATAAAAAAAGCTGGGCGTGGTGGCTCAGGCCTGTAATCCCAGCACTTTGGGAAGCCGAAGCGGGGGGGGGGATCACCTGAGATCGGGAGTTCGAGAGCAGCCTGACCAACATGGAGAAACCCCGTCTTTACTAAAAAAAAAAATACAAAATTAGCCAGGCGTGAGTCTCATGCCTGTAATCCCAGCTACTTGGGAGGCTGAGGCAGGAGAATCGCTGGAACCCGGGAGGTGGAGGCTGCGGTGAGCTGAGATCGCACCATTGCACTCCAGCCTGGGCAACAAGAGCAGAACTCCATCTCAAAAGAAAAAAAAAAAAAAAAGAATGGCATAGGGGCCAGGCACGATGGCTCATGCCTGTAATCCCAGCACTCTGGGAGGCCGAGGCAGGCGGATCACGAGGTCAGGAGATCCAGACCACCCTGGCTAACATGGTGAAACCCTGTCTCTACTAAAAATACAAAAAATTAGCCGGGCATGGTGGCGGGCGCCTGTAGTCCCAGCTACTCGGGAGGCTGAGGCAGGAGAATGGCATGAACCTGGGAGGCAGAGCTTGCAGTGAGCCAAGATCGCGCCACTGTACTCCAGCCTGGGCGACAGAGCGAGACACCGTCAAAAAAAAAAAAAAATCATTCCACTATTGGAGAGAGGTAATAAGACACAATGTTAACTTTGGAAGCCAATGAAAAGTCCTTCCGGTAGAAAGAGTACTGATGAGTGCCTTCTCTTTCCATCCAAATGAATGATGAGACCATCTGAAGGAGAGCCGTACATTTTTCATATTACCCAAAGTCCACCTGTGGAATTCACAGCTGTCAGCTTAAAACAGTGAACAGCCCAGACTCAGGAATACTGGCTGTCTCTCCAATTTAAGACACTGAAAGGGGTGCGAGTGCCAGGACTGTCCTCTATGGCAAACACTCCTCATGCACCAATAGAAGATGATCGCAAAAGTTCCGAGGGCAGGACTGGAGAGGGGATTTTGGTTATGACTGTAGCAGAGCACGGAGGTGCTATATTCTGGAGATTCTCTTTATTGAGGAGGATCACTGATGGAGAATAATTCCTATTCAAGTCTGGTAGTCAAGGAGATTCATGGCTACCTTGCCTATCACCATTAGGCTAATTCTGGGTGATCTTTCAGGCCTATGGAGAAACTGTTTAGGACAGGGTCAGTGTGAGCGCATAGGGACCTACTTAGCACTGCCTGGTCAAGAAAACTCTAGGGCAGAGTGGTAAGGAGGCCACCTGGGCACCCATGGCTTAGAAATGGTTCTGATCACAGCTGGGTGGAGAAAAGCTCCCTTGCTAAGGTTTACCCAACTACATGCCAAGGTGTTCTATTAGTTGTCCTTTTGGGACAGTGGTTGGCAGGTCAGTGCTCAGTTAAGTGTTGCTAATTTTTATATTTTTAGAAGAGATGGGGTTTCACCATGTTGGCCAGGATGGTCTTGATCTCTTGACCTTGTGATCTGCCTGCCTCGGCCTCCCAAAGTACTGGGATGACAGGCATGAGCCACCGCGCCCAGCCAGATATTATCTTAATAAGCCTAACTCTGAAGTGATGGAAAGAAGCTAAGCACAATGCCTTCCTAGACTGGAGAAGCTCAGAGAAGTTCACAGCATTGTTGGAGATAACACAGCAAGCACAGTGTGGCTGGTGAACAAGGAGAAAGCGGCACGTCTTAGGAAGACAACCTCCCACCCGGCTTTCACCTTCACCTGGATCTATGTTCCTGCTAAAGACAGTTGGAATAACGCACTGTGTCCTGAGATACAACAGAATCGCCATGAGCAACTACGACCATCTGTGAACACTTCCAAGGTACTCTCTCCACTGGAAGAAGGAAGGTAACCACCCCCTGCCAGCCACTGTTACCATAGCAGGCCGAGCGAAATACATTTTGGCGGGGAAAGAACAAATGAGACTACTAAGCCAAGTCGCTCTGAAAGATGAGTGAGAGAAAACTTGGCAGATCATCTGGCGCAAAGGTAGGAAGCAGGTTTAATTCTCTTCTTGGTCAAATGCCACAATAGCGTGAACTGGGCTCACTATGACTTTTTTTTTTTTTTTTTTTGAGGCGGAGTCTCGCTCTTTCGCCTAGGCTGGACTGCAGTGGCGCCATCTCGGCTCACTGCAAGCTCCGCTTCCTGGGTTCACGCCATTCTCCTGCCTCAGCCTCCCGAGCAGCTGGGACTACAGGTGCCCGCCACCACGCCCGGGTTTTTTTTTCTGTATTTCTAGTAGAGACGGGGTTTCACCGTGTTAACCAGGATGGTCTCGATCTCCTGACCTCGTGATCCGCCCGCCTCGGCCTCCCAAAGTGCTGGGATTACAGGCGTGAGCCACCACGCCCGGCCGTGACTTTCTTTTTGTTTGGCAATCCCAATAGACACAGAAACGTAAGCAAAACGCCACGGAAAACCTTTGATGTACTTTACTTATAAATTATTTTTCTATTCTGACACTGTAATAATTTCACAGAGAAATGCCCGTTTCTGTGAACTGCTGGGGGCCATCAAGCTTCATTGATCCAAACTCCAGAAGGAAGGGAGGAGAACAGAACACACATAAGTCCCAGATAAGCCCAAACCTCACCATGGCTGTGTGTTCCGGCTCCTTTTCTCTCTTTCCTCTCCTTCCAACCACAAACAGCCAAAGGCAGGAAATAGAAGGGCGGGAAAGGAAGGAGGCACAGTCAGCCAGTCTAGAGAACAGAAGCAACGACAGGATTCTCATAGCTATCTGGGACTTGGAAAACCTCAATGACTTGTTCTACATCACCCTGTGCTGGATTCTGAACGTGGAGTTAGGAAGTCACACAAACGGAAATCAAAATCAATGCAAGGAGAGGATATCCTTTCAGCTTCTCGGTACCTGCTCAGCCCGTTACTTCTAAGCCTTCCAAGCATTTCAAGCCTCAGGTTACGACCATTTTTACAAGGCCACTCCCTCCCTGAAGGTTTCATGAAGAACACCTGAGGGCTCTGTGGGCTAAAATAGGCCCAATCACTTCTGACGGGTCTACAAGAGCGGGCCAGGCTCTCCTTGATCTCACAGCACTTTCTCTTTTCCTTTTTTTTTTTTTTTTTTTGAGACGGAGTCTCCCTCTGTTGCCCAGGCTGGAGTACAGTGGTGCGATCTCAGCTCACTGCAACCTCTGCCTCCTGCCTCCTGGGTTCAAGCAATTCTCCCTTCCTTAGCCTCTCGAGTAGCTGGGATTACAGGCGCCCACCACCACACCTGGCTAATTCTTGTATTTTTAGGAAAGACAGGGTTTTGCCATGTTGGCCAGGCTGGTCTCGAACTCCTGACCTCAAGTGATCAGCCAGCCTCAGCCTCCCAAAGTGCTGGGATTACAGGCGCGAGCCACCACACCCGGCCCTCTTTTCCCTTTTTTCCTCAATTCTTGCTCCCTCCCTTCCTTCTCTGCCTGTGGTATTTACAGGGGTTGCTTAGATAAATACCCACCAATACAAAACGCTAAAAAGGCCACTGGCTCGGGAGGCTGAGGCAGGAGAATCGCTTGAACCCGGGAGGCGGAACTTGCAGTGAGCAGAGATCGCGCCACTGCACTCCAGCCTGGGCGACAGAAGGCCACTGGTTTCCATCTGAGAAGATATATGGTCTCCTAAGCAAATAGAATGTTCTAAAGATGGTGGGTATGAGGACGGTCCTTTGCAGGTTTGGTGCATTGTGGCTCTCATTTTCTAGCTGTCTGAGTTACCTAACTTCTGTGTGCCTCACCCCCGACTCTGCAAAATGGGGTCAAATACCTATCTAATAAATAAAGTTCCTAAAGTGGCTAGAGGCTGGGCGTGGGGGTTCACGCCTGTAATCCCAGTACTTTGGGTGGCAGAGCCAGGCAAATCACTGAGGTCAGGAGTTCAAGACCAGCCTGATCAACATGGTGAAACCCATCTCTACTAAAAATGCAAAAATTAGCTGGGCATGGTGGTGCACGCCTGTAGTCCCAGCTGCTGGGGAGGCTGAGGCAGGAGAACTGCCTGAACCTGGGAGGCAGAGCTTGCAGTGAGCCGAGAATATGCCATTGCACTCCAGCCTGGGTGAGAGCAAGACTCCATCTCAAAAAAAAAAAAAAAAAAAAAAGAAAAAGTGGCTCGTACATTATAGGTGCTCAATAAAAAGCAACCAATTCTCCAAATTCCTTCAGCAATTTTCAATTCATCCTCAAATCCAGAGCCCACTGGACCGTTTCCCAGAGAAAATTCCACAGGATCTCAAGATGCTTCTCAAAAGTTCTGTGGTCAGGCAGGTGCGGTGGCTCACACCTGTAATCTCAGCACTTTGGGAGGCTGAGGCAGGAGGATCTCTTTATTTTTTTCTCTATTTTTAAAAACTGATTAACCAATCTTTAGGGAGACATCTGTTGAGGCCAGGAGTGCAAGCCCAGCCTGGGTCATACAGTGAGGCTGTAGTGAGCTATGACGGAGCCACTGCACACCAGCCTGAGCAACAGGGCCATCAGCAGTCTCACGCTACCTCCAGAAGTGGCTTGGCCCAGCTGCCAGCCTGGCATGTAGCTCTTCACTACCTCGAGGGAGTATCACAAACTATTACCACCCTAGCTTCTGTCCCACGCCTTCAAAATGAAGCACGTTTTATGCCCCCCTCCACCCACTAGCGCAACAGGTCGGATGAGCAGGTAACAGGAGGCACCATCTTATTTCCAAGTGCTGGACCCGAGGTCCTTTCACACTTACGGATGCACTCCACCCAGGCACCTACTCCCCAAGACAAACTGTTTCACCAGTTCCTACCATCCACAGCATGAATTCCACAGCCTCTCAAAGATAAGAAGTTTTCCATTTTGCTTCAAAAGCCCCCACACCTCAGTTATGTTATTAAGATTCGTATACATGAAATGCTTATGGAGTACTTAGTATGCCAGTACTGAATATGGAGTATCATTCCAACAACCCTATGAGATCAGTATTACTATTTCCCTCCTTCACAGATGAGGAAACTGAAGCAGGGAAAAGTTAAACAATTTGCCCAAAGTTACACAAGCAGTAAGTGGTAGGTAAATAAGGCCCAACCCAGGATCCACAGCTCAAGCTTATAACGACTCTCCTAACTCACACTCCTTCAGCTGTGTCAACCTGAAAGGTTTAGCTGTTCAAGAGAAAAAAAACTAGTTTCTTGCAAGCATTCCAAGGAGGTCCATCTTGAAGCCCAACCTGACAGAATGTGACCAGTAGACTTGGCCAAGCCCTTCCTTATGGCCCCAGGGAACTCCCAAGCTATGGCACCACAGGAAGCCTATGCAAGCTGAGGACCCAAGACAAGTTAAAAACAGGTTCAACGGAAAAGGCTGAGAATCACTGGCCCATTCTGTACCCATGCCTTTAAAAATAATACCCAGCTGCGCACGGTGGCTCACGCCTGTAATCCTAACACTTTGGGAGGTCAAGGCAGGTGGATTACTTGAGGTCAGGAGATCGAGACCAGCCTGGCCAACATGGTGAAACCCCCATCTCTACTAAAAATACAAAAAAATTAGCTGGGAGTGGTGGCGCATGCCTGTAATCCCAGCTACCTACTCAAGAGGCTGAGGCAGGAGAATGGCTTGACCCGGGAGGGGGAGGTTGCAGTGAGCTGAGATCGTCCCACTGCACTCCAGCCTGGGCAACAGAGCAAGACTCTGTCTCAAAACATAAATAAAGTTTAAAAAATAAGGCGCGGTGGCTCAGGCCTGTAATCCCAGCACTTTGGGAGGCCAAGGTGGGCGGATCACGAGGTCAGGAGCTCAAGACCATCCTGGCTAACACGGTGAAACACCTCTCTACTAAAAATACAAAAAATTAGCCGGGCATAGTGGCGGGCGCCTGTAGTCCCAGCTGCTCAGGAGGCTGAGGGAGGAGAATGACGTGAACCCGGCAGGCGGAGCTTTCAGTGAGCCGAGATCGCGCCACTGCCCTCCGGCCCGGCGTGGGCGACAGAGCGAGATTCTGTCTCAAAAAAAGAAAAAAAACACATAAAAATGACACCTAAGCCATTCCATATAATTTTCACCTATGCACTGTGTAAACAAAATATACTCTGTAGGCTAGATGCGATGGCTCACACCTGTAATCCCAGCACTTTGGGGAAGCCGAGGCGAGCGGATCACTTGAGGCCAGGAGTTCAAGACCAGCCTGGACAACGTGGCAAAACCCCGTCTGTACTAAAAATACAAAAAAATTGGCTGGGCATGGTGGCGCATGCCTGTAATCCCAGCTATTTGGGAGACTAAGGCAGGAGAACTGCTTGAACCCAGGAGGTGGAGGGTACAGTGAGCTGAGATCGCGCCACTGCACTCCAGACGGGGCAACAAGAGCGAAACTCCCTCTCAAACAAAACAAAACAAAACAAATAGGCCGGGCGCGGTGGCTCACACCTGTAATCCCAGCACTTTAGGAGGCCGAGGCAGGCAGATCACAAGGTCAGGAGATCGAGACCATCCTGGCTAACACGGTGAAACCCCATCTCCACTAAAAATACAAAAAATTAGCCGGGCGTGGTGGCGGGCGCCTGTAGTCCCAGCTACTCGGGAGGCTGAGGTAGGAGAATGGCATGAACCCCACGGGGCGGAGCTTGCAGTGAGCCGAGGTCGTGCCACTATACTCCAGCCTCGGTGACAGAGCGAGAAACTGTCTCAAAAAAAAAAAAAAAAAAAGCAATAACAATTTTAAAAAGCTTCTTCATCATTGACTTTAGATAGCAGATGTGTATTGTCTGAATAATAAAGCCAGTGGCACGATCTCAGCTCACTGCAACCTCTGCCTCCGGGGTTCAAGCGATTCTCGTGCCTTAGCCTCTCCAGCAGCTAGGATTACAGGCGTCCGCCACCACGCCCAGCTAATTTTTGTATTTTTTAGTAGAAACAAGGTTTCACCATGTTGGCCAGGCTGGTCTCGAACTCTTGACCTCAAGTGATCCACCCTCCTTGGCCTCTCAAAGTGCTGGAATTACAGGCATGAGCCACTGCGCCCGGCCTCTTCTTGCCATTCTTTAATTCTGGTCTTTAAAAAACCTGGGCTGGATGCGGCTGTATGTGCCTGTAGTCCCAGCTACTCACAGCCTGAGTCAGAAGGGCTGCCTGCCCCAAAGTTAAGGGCTGTAGTGCACTATGACTGTGCCTGTCAACAGCCACTGCACTCCAGTTTGGGCAACATAGTGGGGGGAAAAAAAAACAAAAAACACAAGGCCGAGGTGGGCGGATCACCTGAGGTCAGGAGTTCGAGACCAGCCTGGCCAACATGGTGAAACCCCGTGTCTACTAAAAATACAAAAAAAAAAATTAGCTGGGCACAGTGGCACATGCCTGTAATCCCAGCTACTCGGGAGGCTGAGGCAGGAGAATCACTTGAACCTGGGAAGCAGAGGTTTCAGTGAGCCGAGACTGCACCACTGCACTGTAGCAGCCCGGGGGGCAAGAGCGAAACTCCATCCAAAAACAACAAAACAAAAAACACCAAGTCTTAGACTCCAGGGCAGAGGCAAAGTATTGAGGATATTGAGGATACGGACCTCTATGTGCACTGCTGAGATGCCAAAAGAACGCTGGCTTTGAGAGTGTAGTGTAAAAGGGTCAGCTCTCAGGTCAGAATGCCTAGGTTCAACTTCTGAAAGTCATTTATTAGTTGTGTGACCTTAAGCAAGTTACTGAATCTATGAGTGTTTCCTCCTGTATAAAATGGGAATATTTTAATAAATGGAGATCATATTACTTATCTCACTAGATTGTCCTAGACAGTAAGTGAAATAAGGTACATAAAGTACTCAAAGTACCTGGCACAGAATAACCAGTCAATAAACATTAGTTATTAATATTCTATACGCCTCTCTAAAAAATTCAAGAAATTTCTCTGTGTGACTTCAAAAGGACTTGGTGAGGGGGAGAACAAAGATTCAGTACTTAGTACTTGAGATTTGTGAGGTACAAAGTAATTCTGAGGTTATACAGACAGGCCAGGCGCTGGTGGCTCACGTCTGTAATCCCAGCACTTTGGGAGGCCGAGGTGGGTGGATGATCAGAGTTCAGCAGTTCGAGACCAGCCTGGCCAACATGGTGAAACCCCATCTCTACTAAAAAAATACAAAAATTAGCTGAGCATGGTGGTGGGCGCCTGTAATTCCAGCTACTCAGGAGGCTGAGGCAGGAGAATTGATTAAACCTAGAAGGCAGAGGTTGCAGTGGGCCAATATCGCGCCATTGCGCTCCAGCGTGGGAGACAAGAGTAAAAACTCGGTCTCAAAAAGAAAAAAAAAAAAAAAGACAGCAACTGACCAGGCACAGTGGCTCACACCTGCAGTTCCAAAACTTTGGGAGCCTGAAGCATGAAGTCTATTGAGATCAGGAATTTGAGACCAGCCTGGACAATACCGTGAGACCCCTCATCTCTACAAAAAAATTTTCAACAGTTAACCAGGCATGGTGGATACGCCTGGAGTCCCAGCTACTCAGGAGGATGAAGTGGGAGGATGGCTTGAGCCCAGGAGGTCAAGGCTGCAGTGAGCTGTGTTCATGCCACTGCACTCCAGCTTGGGTGACAGAGGCTCTGTCTCAGAAGAGAGAAAAAGACAGCAACTGAATCGTAGAAAATGGGGTACAACATGGCAGAAAGAATTATCACAATACTCGTGAATTTTCCACACCCCATCCATAAACTTTGGCAATCTTCACCGTCTTTCCTCAGCCAAGGAACTGAGTTCTTATCTGTTTTGAAAAGGTGGTGCTCGATTATCACGGTAAGTGTTGAGACATAAAATCGTTATGCTAAGATATGAAAAAATATCAAACTAACAAACCTGCCTGCTGCCATTTTCAACTTTGGCAACCAACAAACACAAACAAAAGGCTGAAAAGTGAGTTTCAATGACAGTTTGCCATCATGTGACGACATATAATGCAAAACCCCAGATACTATGCAGGTGGCATCAAAGTAGAATATATCTGGTTCAGGGCCAACACAGGTACATCAATATTCCCATCTCATAATACTATTAAACAGGCCACAATGAGAAAGATCTAGGATAATTTGTGAGCTTATAGACCCCATACTCATTTTTAAAAAATGGTTGTGTTAGACTGGGTGTGGTGGCTCACGCCTGTAATCCCAACACTTTGGGAGTCTGAGGTGGGCAGATCACCTGAGGTCAGGAGTTCGAGACCAGCCTGGTCAACTTGGCGAAACCCCAACCCTACTAAAAATACAAAAACTAGCCAGGCGTAGTGGAGTGTGCCTGTAATCCCAGCTACTAGGGAGGCTGAGACAGGAGAATCCTTTGAACCCGGGGAGGTAGAGATTGCAGTGAGCTGAGATTGCACCATCGCACTCCAGCCTGGGCAACAAAAGCGAAACTCCGCCTCAAACAAACAAAGCTGGGTGCGGTGGCCCACGCCTGTAATCCCAGCATTTTGGGAGGCAAAGGCGAGTGGATCACCTGAGATCAGGAGTTCAAGACCAATCTGGCCAACCTGGTAAAACCCCATCTCTACTAAAAATACAAAAAATTAGCTGGGCGTGGTGGTGATGCACACCAGCAATCCCAGCTACTCAGGAGGCTGAGGCAGAATCACTTGAACCCAAAAGGCAAAGGTTGCAGTGAGCCAAGATCGCGCCACTGCACTCCAGCCTGGGCGACAGAGAGACTCCGTCTCAAAATAAATAAATAAGTAAGAAATAAATAAGAAAAATTTTAAAAAAATTAGTATGTGTTGGCCAGGCGCGGTGGCTCTTGCCTGTAATCCCAGCACTTTGGGAGGCCGAGGCTGGTGGATCACCTGAGGTCAGGAGTTCGAGACCAGCCTGGCCAACCTGGTGAAACTTCGTCTCTACGAAAAATACAACATTAGCTGGTTATGGTGGCGGGTGCCTGTAATCCCAGCTACTTGGGAGACTGAGACAGGAGAATCGCCGTGAGCCGAGATTGCGCCACTGTGCTCCAGCGTGGGTGACAGAGCAAGACTCCGTCTTAGAAAAGAGTAAAATAAAAATTGGTGTGTGTTAACAAAGAGACTGCCTATCCAATTCTCTATTTCTGGCCGGAGCGAGTAAATCTAAATTAGAACTATTCTACAAGGGCAAGTCTACAAAGGACGGCTCAAGAGCTTCCTGATTCATATGAGACTAGTCTGAACCCATTCTCAGCTGGCCAAGAAGAAACTGCTTCGACTTGGCAACAGCGTGAAGGCACGAGGACTCCTGATGCTGTTACACAGGTACACATACAATGAGAACCCCAGAATTACTTTGTACCTCACAAATCTCCAGTACTAAGGGCATCTATCTATTCCCTTAAAACAGTCCCAAATCAACTCCAACGGCATCGGTAAGACAGTCAATCTCAGGGATCCCTCCCTGGCAAGGAAAACCCAGCGCAGGTAATTTATGTTCTTGGCGTAGAGTCTGTTCCCAATATCCAGGAAGACTCAGCCCGCAGCCCCATCTTACTGAGCAAGGTGACGCCCTGAAGTACACACCGACAATGTTTAAGTCCAAGGAAAATGAAGTTCCAGTCACTTACAGGGAAGGGTCTGTTTCCATTGCCTCACTTCTGGTTTATTTTGTGGAATAAAATGTCTTTCCTCCACTAAACACTTTGAAAACCAGAACTCTCTAACGGCGGACAGTCTTCTGGACGCTTAGATCTCTTGCACATAGCCAGGCATCGCCTTAAACTGGGTTGGGCTGGTCACTGAAGGCTTTCTGCTACCACTATTTCTTCTAGCACTTAGTTCACCACCTTCGTCCTCCACGGGGGAAGAGAACGGTACAAAGATTTTGGAAAAATGCCCAAGAAAGGAAAAAATTGACCGGTTTCCTGAGGGTGTCTCCATCCCTCCCGGCCAGTATGTGGTGACTTCCTACCAAAGGCCACCAGGGGAGCACGGCCAAACCCGGCTCTCCAACACGGCAGGAAACGTTTCCAGCCTAAAAGCCACTTGTAGGATTATCGGATTCATTCTGGGCGCCGCTGCCAAGTGATGCCCCCGCAGTGCCAACATCTCCCTCAGCTCTTTGTCCCCACGTTGCCTTGCCCTGCCCTACCCTTGCGCCTGGCCCGGGAGCCAGCCCCACCCTGGGGCCGAAGCAGTTCCCCTTCCCCGCGGCTGCCCTCCCCAGGCACACCCCGGGGCCTCGGTCCGCGGCTCCTCCTCCCCCACACTCCTGCTCCCCGGGTGAGAGCGAGCCCGAGCAGCCGGCGGGCCCCTGCCACGGTCACCCAGCCCTCTGCCCACGACCCCCGAGGGTCCGCTCTCGAGGACCAGCCAGCCAGGCTGGGAGTTCCGCGGCCCTCACCCCGCCCAGGGCCCGCCGTCCCGTCAGTCCCTCACCGGGCGGAGGCTGGGCGGGCGACGGTGGCACCGGCGGGCGCGGGCCGCTGCTGTTGATGATGTAGTGGGAGACGCGCGAGTTCTCTGAGACGCTGAGCACATAGTCCCCGGGGCTGGTGCTCGAGTCCCGCACCAGGAACACCCCGTGCCGCTGGCCCTGCAGCAGCGCCACCGCCTCCTGCCGACTCAACCTCCCCCAGTACCAGCTACTCCGCTCCTCCGAGTCGAAGTTGCCCGCCATGGCTGCCTCCGCGCCTAAACGCTGGGGTGCCGCCGCCGCGCGCGCCCCTCCGGCCCCCGGCGCCCGCCGCCCAGCGGACCGGCTCCGGTTTCAGCTTCACAGCAGCGCCCGAAATGGCGGCGGCAGCCGCGGGCCTCCCCCTCCGGAAATGACGCGCTCCCTGCCCGAGGGAGGCTGCCGGGAAGGGGCCCGCGGCCCGCCATTGGGAGAAGGGCAAGGCGCCCTCGCGCGCGCACTGCGCATGCGGATTCATGGGCGGTGCCGCCCTTCCCGGGCCCGGGCTGCGGGGGATGGGAGGCGGGGTCTAGGGCCCGAGGGGCGGGGCCTCGCAGCCTCCCGCAGAGACGCGCGCCTGCGCTGCGGACAGAGCGGTGCTTCTCGTCTGGGCCCCGGTTCCTGGACGACCTGGGACTTCTAGGCAGCGACTCCCAGACAGAATTGGAGGAGAAAAGATGCGTGTGGCCCTGGGGCCTGAGTTCTCGGCCAGGCTTCCTGCGATATCAGTCTGTTTCTTTTTTCTTTTTCTTTTTGAGACGGAGTCTTGTTCTGTCGCCCACGCTGGAGTGCAATGGCGCGATCTCGGCTCACTGCTCCCGGGTTCAAGCGATTCTCCTGCGTCAGCCTCCCGAGTAGCTGAGACTACAGGCGTGAGCCACCGCGCCCGGCTGTTTTTTGTATTTTTAGTAGAGACGGGGGTTTCACCATGTCGGCCAGGATGGTCTCAATCTCCTGACCTCAGGTGATCCGCCCGCCTCGGCCTCCCAAAGTGCTGGGATTACAGGCGAGAAACATCGCGCCCGGCCACGTCGGTCCGTTTCTGCTCGTTCCTCTAGCTTCTCCACAGACCAGCTGACGTTCTCATTTTCATTGATTCACCTAGGACATTGTTGTTGACACTCCACTTGCACTGCGGGTGCAAAGGTTATCATGGCTGGGCCCTGCACTCCTCGAACTCACAGACCAGTGAGAGGAACCAGGAAACTGGATGACAAAAGGATGACAAATGCTGACAAACGCTATCATGGGAAACGGACATGAACACAGAGCAGAGCCCCCACAGCCAGTCTATGGAGTAATCCAGGAGGGCTTCCCAGAGGAGGCAGCATGTGTTGACTGCTGAATGACAAATGGGGAAGGACATTCTTTCTTTTTTTTTTTTTTTTTTTTTTGAGATGGAGTCTCGCTCTGTCGCCCAGGCTGGAGTGCCTGGGCGTGATCTCGGCTCACTGCAAGCTCCGCCTCCCGGGTTCACGCCATTCTCCTGCCTCAGCCTCCCGAGTTGCTGGGACTGCAGGCACCCGCCACCACGCCCGGCTAACTTTTTGTATTTTTAGTAGAGATGGGGTTTCACCGTGTTAGCCAGGCTGGTCTCGATCTCCTGACCTTGAGATCCGCCCACCTCGGCCTCCCAAAGTGCTGGGATTACAGGCGTGAGCCACCGCACTCGGCGGGGAAGGACATTCAAAGCAAAGGGAGCAGAGTGTACCAAGCCACGTGAAGTACAGAGTTCTCTTCTCTTTTGAGGCTTTGGGGTCACCTGCCCAGATAATTCTAAACACTAAATTGTAGCCAGGGGCATCTCCTACTCTCACTGCCCTCATGATTGCCTCTGGACTGTGTTCCTACGAGTGTCGTGCTCGCTGGTGCTCTTTCGTCTGGCTGCCCCTAATCGCACTGCAAACAACTCCCACTGAGTTTTCTAAAATACAGATCTGGCCGGGCGCCGTGGCTCATGCCTGTAATCCCAACACTTTGGGAGGCTGTGGCTGGCAGATCACCTGAGGTCAGAAGTTCGAGACCGGGCTGACCAATATGGTGAAGCCCGGTCTCTACTAAAAATACAAAAATTAGCCAGGTGTGTTAGCGGGCGCCTGTAATCCCAGCTACTCAGGAGGATGAGGCAGGAGAATCGCTTGAACCCAGGAGGCGGAGGTTGCAGTGAGCCGAAATCATGCCACTGCACTCCAGCCTGGGTGACAGAGGGAGATCCTGTCTCAAAAATATATATATATGTATACAAATCTGAATGTGTTGCTACCTTGTGTAAAACTTTTAACAGTCTTCAGGTGTTCAAACTCCCAGTTTAGCTCAGAGCATAAAATTGGGCCACAGTCTCTCTCTCTCTTTTTTTTTTTTTTAGATGGATTCCTGCTCTGTTGCCCAGGCTGGAGTGCAGTGGCGTGATCTCGGCTCACTGCAATCTCCGCCTCCCGGATTCAAGCGATTATCCCTGCCTCAGCCTCCCGAGTAGCTGGGACTACAGGCACCCGCCACCACGCCCGGCTAATGTTTGTATTTTCAGTAGAGACGGGGTTTCACCATATTGGCCAGGCTCATTTTTTTTTAATTAAAAATTTTTTCTGGCCAGGCATAGTGGCTCATGCTTGTAATCCCAGCACTTTGGGAGGCCAGGAGGTCAGGAGTTCGAGACCAGCCTGGCCAACATGGCAAAACCTCATCTCTACTGAAAATACAAAAAATTAGCCGGATGTGCTGGCAGGTGCCTGAAGTCCCAGCTACTCGGGAGGCTGAGACAGGAGAATCACTTGAACCCGGGAGGCAGAGGTTGCAGTGAGGTGAGATCGCGCCATTGCACTCCAGCCTGGGCGACAGAGCGAGACTCCATCTCAAAAAACATTGTTTTTCTTTATAGCCGAGCGTGGTGGCACATCCAGCTATAGTCCCAGCTACTCAGGAACCTGAGGCGGGTGGATCACTTGAGCCCAGGAGTTCGAGGCTGTATTGAGCTATGATCATGCCACAGCACTTCAGCCCAGGTGACAGAGTGAGACCACCTCTCTAAAATAATAATCATCATTTTTTTAAGAGATGAGGTCAGCTGGTCGCTGTGGCTCACGCCAGTAATCCCAGCATTTTGGGAGGCTGAGGCAGGTGGATCACGAGGTCAGGAGATCGACACCATCCTGGCTAACACGGTGAAACGCGGTCTCTACTAAAAATACAAAAAAAATTAGCTGGGCGTGGTGGCGGGCGCCTGTAGTCCCAGCTACTCAGGAGGCTGAGGCAGGAGAATGGGTGAACCCAGGAGGCGGAGCTTGCAGTGAGCTGAGATCGAGCCACTGCACTCCAGCCTGGGCGATAGAGTGAGACTCCGTCTCAGAAAAAAAAAAAAAGAGATGAGGTCTTCTTATGGTGCCCAGGTTGGACTCTAATTCCTGGGCTCCAGGGGTCCTCCTTCCTCAGCCTCCTCAGTAGCTGGGATTATAGAGGTACCACTGTGCTGGTCCACAGTCTCGTTTAACTGCTCCTATGTGAATGCTGGGTTTCTTTTTCCTGGAATGTTCTTCTACCCACTTTGGAGTCTCAAATTCAAATGTCTTCCCTTTCTTTTTTTCTTTTTCTTTTTTTTTTTTTTTTTTTTTTTGTTTTTGAGTCGGAGTCTCGCTCTGTCGCCCAGGCTGGAGTGCAGTGGCGCGATCCTGGCTCACTGCAAGCTCCGCCTCCCGGGTTCACGCCATTCTCCTGCCTCAGCCTCCCGAGTAGCTGGGACTACAGGCGCCCGCCACCGCGCCTGGATAATTTTTTTTTTTTTTTTTTTAGTAGAGACAGGGTTTCACCGTGTTAGCCAGGATGGTCTTGATCTCCTGACTTTGTGATCTGCCTGCCTTGGCCTCCCAAAGTGCTGGGATGACAGGCGTGAGCCACCGCACCCGGCCCAAATGTCTTCCCTTTCTTAACCATCCCATCACTCCCTCTCTTCATCAACAGCAGTATGTCCAAATTATTCCCATGACAGCTCTTACCCATTTTACTGTAATTTTTCATTTGCAGTTCTGTGTATGTCCTCAAAGGCCAAGCAGCTAGTCTATGAGGTGCTCCAGAAGCATTCAGGACCGCTAACATTGATTCAGAGATGACCATCTGCCAGGCACAGTGCTGACTGCCTTTGTATGGATCATCTCATTTAATCCTCTCAACAACCTTATTTGACAAGTATCCCCATCTTACAAAAGAGAAAACTGAAGCTCAGAGAGTTTAAGTAATGTGTCCAGAGAGACATGGTCGCAGAGTGAGGAGCTAGGGTTCAAATCCTGGAAGGAGAGACAGCTATGGTCACTCTGCTCTACCCTCAATTTTCTGAGATAGGAATTGGGAGGAAGGGTTGGCAGAAATCTACATTTTTAAAAAAGCAGTAAGCTGTGGATTATGGTCTAAGGAATAACACAGTCCTGCTGGACTCACCTTACACACCCTTGGGCCTGCTCTGGGGAAGTGGGGGGTGGGGGACTGGGAGGCACAAGGGCACCTTTCCTGCTGCAGGTGACTCATCGTGACCCTGGCTTAGTGACAGCCTGGCACCGTGAGCCAGCAGAAGCAGCCGTCCCAGTGTGAATTCTGGCTGGTCTGTGAGCTCTGGACCTTACCCAGAGACTGCCTGTTCCAAAGCAGTCCCTCTGAGATCCCTCCCTAGGGCATACGGAAATTACAAGAAAAATAATTTTTTTTTTTTGAGACGGAGTTTCATTCCTGTTGCCCAGGCTGCCGTGCAATGGCACGATCTCAGCTCACCGCAACCTCCATCTCCCGGGTTCAAGTGATTCTCCTGCCCCAGCCTCCCGAGTAGCTGGAATTACAGGCATGTATCACCATGCCTGGATAATTTTTTGTATTTTTAGTAGAGACAGGGTTTCTCCATGTTGGTCAGGCTGATCTCAAACTCCCGACCTCAGGTGATCCGCCTCCCTCGGCCTCTCAAGGTGCTGGGATTACAGGTGTGAGCCACCGCACCCGGCCAAAAAAGAATTTTTTAAAGAAGAATAGACCATCCTGGCTAACATGGTGAAACCCCGTCTCTACTAAAAACACAAAAAATTAGCCAGGCGTGGTGGCGGGCGCGTGCAATCCCAGCTACTTAAGAGGCTGAGGCAGGAGAATTGCTGGAACCCGGGAGGCAGAGGTTGCAGTGAGCCGAGATCGAGCCACTGCACTCCAGCCTGGGTGAGAAGAGTGAAACTCCATCTCTAAATAAAGAAATAAAAGAGAACTCTGGGGCACCATGTGAGGGGAACTCCAAGGAGAGTCTTGGGTAGAGACGGAGCGAGGAGCACAGGCAGGATGCTGCGCCTTCCAGGAAAGGTCAGTAAGATGTCCCCACTGGCAATGTGATTCTGGGACCATCGAGAATGGGTTATTTGCTTTGCTGCGTGCAAACTCCTCTCATCGCTGCAATCTTTTAGGGAAGCTGCTCACACAAAGGCCTTCTTGCAGAATCAAGGAGAAGGTACCCATTTCCTCTGCCACTCTTCTCTGCCCCCAGCCTTCTTCCCTTTCCTCTCAGGAGACTCCACGTTCCTCGAGGGCTTTGCCTTGCTGTTCCCTCTGCCTTGACCACTCTTGCTCCAGATCCTAGCCGTCACTTCCTCTCCTCGTTCAGGTCCCCGCTCTGATGTCATCTCCTCTGTGAGGCCTTGCCTGACTGCAAACTACACACCAACACTCCCTCTCCCCTTGTCTGCTTTGCTTATTTTCCTAGCACTTATCTCTTTCTAATATGTTAGGTATTTTCCTTACGTATTGTCTATTCTTTGCTAGAGTGTAAGCTCCATGAGAGCAGGGATTTGGGTCTTTTTGTTGTTCCTGCTATATCCCAAGAGCCTCACTGAGATCCTGGCACATTGCAAGCATTCCTTCAATTCATACTGGTTGAATGGGCCGGGCGCGGTGGCTCATGCCTGGAATCCCAGCACTTTGGGAGGCCAAGGCAGGCGGATCATGAGGTCAGGAGTTCGAGACCAGCCTGTCCAATATGGTGAAACTCCGTCTCTACTAAAAATACAAAAATTAGCTGGGCGTGGTGGCACGCACCTGTAGTCACAGCTACTCAGGAGGCTGAGGCAGAATTGCTTGAACCTAGGAGGCAGAGGTTGCAGTGAGCCGAGATCGCGCCACTGCACTCCAGCCTGGGCGATGCAGTGAGACTCGTCTCAAAACACACAAACAAACAAACAAAAACCTGTTGCCCAGGCTGGAGTACAGTGGTTCCATCTCAGCTCACTGCCACCTCCACCTCCCGGGTTCAAGCAATTCTCCTGCCTCAGGAGGCCAGGTTGGTCTCAAACTCCTGACCTCAAATGATCCACCCACCTCGGCCTCCCAAAGCGCCGGGTTGAATGAAGGAAGGATGAATGGAGAACTGGCGGAAGCTCTTGTCTAGAGCCAGCATTAGCTTTTCCCATAATTGGCAGATATTTCCTGGAGGTCACTGGACTTCCCTCAGGATGTGAGCTGAGGGCACAAACCAGTCCTGGTTACCTCTCAAAAGGTCAGAGTAGGCTGGGCACGGTGGCTCACGCCTGTCATCCCACCACTTTGGAGTGACCACTTTGAGATCGTGCCATTGCACTCCAGCCTGGGCGACAGACTCTGTCACAAAAAAACAAACAAACAAACAAAAAAAGGCGGACGTCTGGGTAATGTCTGTGATGTCATTCTCGCGTGCATTCTGGTTTGCTAGAGAAAGGAATGTCGACACAGTTATAAAGCATGTAATTGCACTTAATACCTATCTTATCTATCAGCTTCTTGGAGGCATCGTTACTGCTGATAAAGTGGACGAATAATTGTGGTTTCATTTTTCCTCGGGAAAATTAATCATGGAGAGAGGTGTCAAAATGTAGGTGTGCGTACAGGATCGTGTCAAGCCCAAAACACCACGTTGCGTGGTATCTCCTTGTTTGAGAATCTCTGCCCCAGGTTTCAAATCTAAGCTCCTCAGGCAGCTGGCCTGACCCCGGGCCAAACCTGTTCTTGCCTCTAAGCTCCACATGCACCGTTCCCTCCACCCACAGCGCGCCGCCCTCTTGGAAAAACTCACAGCCATCTGCTGACGACGAGCTCCGTGGTTGCAGCTTGAAGCACTTTCTTTTTTTTTTTTGCTCTGTCGCCCAGGCTGGAGGGCAGTGGCATAATCTCGGCTCACTGTAACCTTCGCCTCCGGGGTTCAAGGGATTCTCCTGCCTCAGCCTTCCGAGTAGCTGGGATTACAGGCACACGCCACCCTGCCTGGCTAATTTTTGTATTTTTAGTAGAGATGGGGTTTCACCGTGTTGGCCAGGCTGGTCTTGAACTCCTGACCTCAGGTGATCCACCTGCCTCAGCCTCCCAAAGTGCTGGGACTACAGGCGTGAGCCACCGCGCCCGGCCCACTCATTCTCTTTCTTGTGGAGGCGACACTGATTTCATTTTGGCGAGTCATCTCCTCCCACTCTTGGTTCTGTGGTTTCCGGTGTGGGTTCCGGTGTGCCCCTGGTAGCTCTGTCTCCAGGGGCAGGCACTCGATCCAGGCCTGACCAATCAGAATCTATTCCTCTCCCTGGCTACAGTGATTGGGTCAGGGTGGATGCCTCATTCAAGGTGCTGCACTGAGAATCCGCTCTGAGACTTCCACATTTTGGGAAAGAGGCACTTCCTCTTTCTGCCTCCAATGCTGAACTGACAGAATGAAAGCCTGGAGCTGTGGGTGGCTGTTGCTGCCACCCCACCTCCAGGTGAGAATCTGCTTGGGAAAGAAGCCACTGTAGAGGAAGGTTCAGCCAGGCGATGGTTCCAGACACATTCCTGACAGTGTGTGAGCACCTGGAAGTAGCCTTACTCTGGGACTAAGGTGCTAATGCTTATAAATATCCTTTTTTTGGCCCAAGCCAGTTTGGACTGGGTTTGTCACTTGCAACAGAATTTGAACGAGAGGTGTCCGGGCACGGTGGCTCATGCCTGTCACCCCAGCACTTTGGGAGGCCGAGGTGGGAGGCATCACCCAAGGTCAGGAGTTCGAGACCAGCCTGGCCAACACGGTGAAACCCAATCTCTACTAAAAATACAAAAATTAGCCAGGCGTGGTGGCGCATGATGTAGTCCCAGCTACTCAGGAGGTTGAGGCAGGAGAATCACTTGAACCTGGGAGGTGGAGGTCGCAGTGAGCCAAGATCACACCACTACACTCCAGCCTGGGTGACAAGAACGAGACTGTCTCGAGAAAAACCTGCAACACGAGGCCCTTGGTTGCCTTCCGGGGCCCTCTTCGTTTCCTAATATTCATAAGGAGACCACATTGGCAAACACGTATTGCTTTATTTAGTGTTTCTCTGGATTGCAGAAGTGTCAGCAGTGGGCTGAGACCCCCAGAAGGGCATAGAGGCAGCTGGGCAGCCCCCAGGCCCTTGAGGGTAGGAGCAGGGAGAAGCAGCAGAAGGAGGTGATGCCCCTGCCGCTCCTCCCAAGGCCAGCCCCGTCCCCACGCTCCCATGCCAGGGAGGGGTCAGGGGCCAGAAAAGGCCCTACATCCTTGAGTGGGGCCCGAGTGTGCGGGCAAGCTGTCTGTCATCCCAAGGCCTGGACTCTGGCAGAGGCGCTTTTCCCACCTGGTGGCTCCCAGGGCCGATTGCTGGTCAAGGAGCCAGATATACTCTTAAGACATGATGTGGGTTTTATGGGGCTCCCTGGCTCTGGGAGTGGCAGTGAGGCACGCTGAGGAAGGGCTGCCATCTTGGTTTTGTGGCAACCTGCCGTATGACCGTGGGCAAGTGCCTTCTCCTGTTTGGGCATCTGTCTTCTGCTCTGTAACATCAAGGGGCTGGGCTGGATGATCTCTCAGCGTCTTCCAACCTCTATGGTCTAAGACGGCCTTCCCCACTCCAGCACTGCCTCAAACTGGGATGATGAGGACAGTAAAAGGGCGTTCTTTTTTTTTTTTTTTAAGACGGAGTCTCGCTCTGTTGCCCAGGCTGGAGTGCAGTGGTGTACTCTTGGCTCACTGCAACCTCCACTTCCCGGGTTCAAGTGATTCTCCTGCCTCAGCCTCCCGAGTAGCTGGGATTAGAGGCGTGCACCACCATGCCCGGCTAATTTTGTATTTTTACTAGAGGCGGAGTTTCTCCATGTAGGTCAGGTTGGTCTCGAAATCCTGACCTCAGGTTATCTGCCCGTCTCCGCCTCCCAAAGTGCTGGGGTTACAGGCGTGAGCCACCATGCCCAGCCTAAAAGGACATTCTTAAGGCAGAAAGAAGGGGGCAGGCAAGGGTGGTCTCAGCCCCCAGATGGAAGTCAGAGTGGGCTGCAAAAGATGCAGATGGGCAGGCAGGGAGACAGGTAAACAGACAGAAAGACAAGGTGCCAAGGGAATCAGGAGGAGAGGTGTCCTGGCCAGGGAAGAGGGCACCAGAGCCCAGCCCACACAACCTCTCGGCTACATTCCTTGCCCTGCTGGAGTCAGGGAAAACACATCCACTGTGTCCTTGGGTGGGAAATGGCTTTTTTTAAAAAATAGTTTCCTATAAAGCATCAAAAAAACCTCAGAGAAAACCTCAGCAAAAGTTCCCTTCTCTCAAATATTTGGCATCGGCAGTAGGGCTGGCATGGCTCGCTCTGGCCCTGGCTTTCCTATTGCTGTGGCCCGGCCTGGCCCACTCCTGGGGTAGCTCCTGGCCCCTGCTGCTCCCTCAAGAGAGGGATGGGCAGGAGGTGGGAGATTGCAGGTGGGCTTCGGGGTGTCCCTGGGTCCCTGTCTGGAAGTTCGAGTCTTTGGTAACTGGGAAGGGGAGGAGGAGAAAAGCAAAGCATTGGGCGTTGGGAGGGTCCAGTGGGCGCCTTTATCACCGAGAATTCAGCCGTGGGGCGACCTGTGGGGGCGGAGAGAGACGGCCAAGTGGTGAGGGGAGCAGACGGGGGCCCCGGTACTCAGACTTTTCTTTTCGTCCTTGTTTTTTCCTTTTTATGGAGAATGGGGTCTCGCTATATTGTCCAGGCTGGTCTTGGACTCCTGGGCTCAAGCTGTCCTCCCACCTCTGCTTCCCTAAGAGTTGGGATTACAGGCGTGAGCCGCCGCACCCAGCCCCAGCGCTCAGATTCATGGGTTCGATGCAGGCAGGAGTGGTGGGGGCCTAGTGGTCTCCATCCTGGAGACTCAGACCTGACTCCCATAGGAATGCCCACCGCCCTGGCCAGCGTGAGCCTGTGAGCCTGTCCTCCCTCCTGGCACCCCCAATCAGCCTATGTATCTTCCCTGCATTGCCGTGCTGCCTTTTTTTTTTTTTTTTTTTTTTTGAGACAGGGTCTCATTTTGTCACCCAGGCTGGAGTGCAGTGGTGAGATCTTGGGTCTCATTGCAGCCTCAACCTCCTGGGCTCAAGCAATCCTCTCATCTCAGGCTTCTGAGCAACTGGGACTACAGGCATACGCCACCACACCAGGCTAACTTTTTTGTATACAAATTCTGAGATGGAATTTTGCTCTTGTTGCCCAGGGTAGAGTGTAATGGCGCAATCTCGGCTCACCGCAACCTCCACCTCCCGGGTTTAAGCGATTCTCCTGCCTCAGCCTCCCAAGTAGCTGGGATTACAGGCATGCGCCACCACACTCGGCTAATTTTGTATTTTAGTAGAGATGGGGTTTCTCCAGTTGGTCAGGCTGGTTTCGAACTCCCAACCTCAGGTGATCCACTTGCCTTCGCCTCCCAAAGTGCTGGGATTACAGGCGTGAGCCACTGTGCCTGGCCTTTTTTTTTTTTTTTGAGATGACATCTCACTCTGTTCCCCAGGCCTGGAGTGCAGTGGCATGATATCAGCTCACTGCAATCTCCACCTCCTGGGTTCAAGCAATTCTCCCGCCTCAGCCCCCACTAGTAGCTGGTATTACAGGCGTGCACCACCACGCCCGGCTAATTTTTGTGTTATTAGTAGAGATGGGGTTTCACGATGTTGGCCAGGCTGGTCTCGAACTCCTGATCTCGGGTGATCCACACACCTCGGCCTCCCAAAGTGCTGGGATTAAAGGTGTGAGCCACTGCACCCAGCCTTTTGCATTTTTTTAGTAGATGGGTTTTGCCATGTTGGCCAGGCTGGTTTCAAACTCCTGGCCTCTGGTGATCCACCCGCCTCAGCCTCCCAAAGTGCTGGGATTATAGGCATGAGCCACCGTGCTGCCACCTTTACAACTTTCTGCACTGAGGGGCTCTCTCTGGCCCTCATGGGTGGGCCAAGGGATGGAAGAGGTGGTATGATGGCCTCTGGATGAAGGCCCATGGTGAGGTGCCTGGGCTCTGCCAAGCACAGCCAAGGAAGGCTTGGCTATCACAGCCAGGCCATAAGCGGGAAAGCAGGCCCCACTCACCACAGCCAGGTGCCCGTTCTTGGCCTTGGTGATGAGCAGCTCCGAGCCGGGTGTGAAGTCAATGGTGCCATCCCTGCCGGGGCCCCCTGCAAACGTGATGCTGGGGGAACGGGGTGGGTGAGGGTTTTTCCATGGAGGCAGACCCCCAACCCTAAGGTGGACCCCCACCCTGTCCCTGGGTGCCCACACAGCCCCCTCGCCACCCCCGCCCTGTCCCCGGGGGCCGCCCGCGCCTCACCTGCCCTGGTTGATGTTGATGCTGTTCACGCGGTTGGCACTGAGGGCTGTCTTGGTCAGCGTCTCAATCACGTGGTCACTCTGCAGCACCACATCTCCCTGGGGGGCCAGGCAGGAGGAGGGGTCAGGCCCTGCCCAGAACTTGAGGAACCCCCGCCCCACCTCCCCATCCACCTCCTGACCCCCAAATCCACCCCCATCCACCCTCCCACCTCCCCATCCACCTCCTGACCCCCCAATCTACCCCCATCCACCCTCCCACCTCCCCATCCACCCCCACACCCCCTATTCCCCCATCCACCCCACCTCCCCATCTACCTCCCCCATCCCCCACCACTCCTCCCCATCCATGAAAAGGCACCTTTTGCTTATTGTCCGCACGCTGTACATGAAGCACAAAAAGACTGTCGCTCAGGCTGCTGACAGAGATTCCTGAGGGGAGAGGGCAAAGGTCAGAGGTCGAGGGTCAGAGCAGGGCCCTCCCCCTGCAGCCCTGGACCCTGGCTGACCGGTCAGGTTGGCGTAATCAATCCTCTGCTTGACTTTGGCGTCCTCCACGATGACGACGGCGTTGGGCGTGAGCAGCAGCTGCCGGGAGCGAGGCTTGTAGCCCTTGCGGTCGTATTTCACAACAGGCACCGCATACTGGGGACAGAGGCCAGGCTGAAGGGGCTGGGGAGAGGCTCCCAAGGCTCCGCCCCTGCCCTGACCTGCCTTCAGCTCTCAGGCAGTAGCACCGTGCTGCTGGACTCAGGGCTGCAGGCAGGCTCTTACCTGAATGGGCTCAGAGCCCAAGGCCTGCAGCACTCGGGGGCTGATCTCATCTGTACCTGCAACTCAGATGGCGGGGAGGGAAGTCAGTGGAGGCAATGGGGGACCAGGATGGTGACGAAAGGTCTGAGTGCTGGAAAGTCAGGGGCTCACCAAGCCGAGTGCTGATGAAGAGCCTGGGTACACTCTGAGGGTAATTATCCTTCTTGCCCTTGAAGATCTCACTAGCCACGGCCTTCTGCTGCAGCTGAGGAGACAAGGGGGGTGAGGAGAGTGTCATGGTGGGGAGCACCATCTTGGGGGGGCAGAGCCAGCCTTAGGACCTGAGACAGCCTCCCTCACCCGCTTGCTGGTCCCTCTCTGGCTCAGCACCAGGAGGCTGAGCCCTGCCCCCCACACGCCCATCAACCCTCCACTTCCTGACCCTCTGCCGCCACCAAGCACTCCCCAGCGGGGTCATGAAGGCACTGCGGGGTTTTGAAACTGGCCTTGGTAATGCTTCCCCACCCCATCAGGCCCTGGTGGCCCTGAGACTCAGCTCCAGCTTGGGGTCTTGTAAGCAGCAGATCACTAATACTCAAGGTTACTGGGTGGGCCCTTTAGCATCATCCAATACTGAGTTGGCAAAAACACGGCACATCAACCAATGCCTGTAATCAGGGCAGATATCACCAATCGACCCGAGTGAAGACGCAGACTTTTCAACACAGGGTTCTGAGCAGTCTCTACCAATCAAGGGCAGTTGGCCCACGATATGAACCCTACTGGCCACCCCAGCTGTACTCCAGTGTCCACTTCCTACACGAGGCCCAGCAGGGCCTGGCATCCAACTGAGGTCACCGGTAGACCGGGGTAAATACGGTAGACTAGGGTAAATAGAGCAGACCGGGGTAAATAGAGCAGACCGGGGTAAACAGAGTAGACCGGGGTAAATACGGTAGGCGGGGTAAATATGGTAGGCAGGGCAAAATACGGTAGACCGGGGTCAATACTATAGACGGGGTAAATACAGTAGATTGCGGTAAATAGAGTAGACTGGGGTAAATACGGTAGGTGGGGTAAATACAGTAGACCGAGATAAATACGGTAGGCGGGGTAAATACGGTAGACTGGGGTAAATAGAGTAGACCAGGGTAAATACGGTAGATCGGGGTAAATACGGTAGAACGCGGTAAATACGGTAGACCGGGGTAAATGCCCCTCCAGGCGGACACCCTTTGAGCAATGCTTGCGACTCCCTGACTCCACTTCCTCATCCTCACCCAGCCCCGCTCTCCGTACCTGCTGCTTCCACTCAGGGCTGATACTCCGGCAGTATTTCCACACCATGTTCTTTATGCACAACTCCCGCAGAAGCTCTGAGGCCTAAGGGGAGGAGTGAGGTCAGAGGTCCTGGACACCCTGGGCCCTTCCCTCTGAAGACATCGAACATATGCTACTGCATCCTTTGGATAAGTAACACCCCCTCCATCTGGAGACGCTTCCGGTCAAGAGACCTTACTCGGCAGGGCGCGGTGGCTCACGCCTGGAATCCCAGCACTTTGGGAGGCCAAGGTGGGTGGATCACCCGAGCTCAGGAGTTCAAGACCAGCCTGGCCAACAGGGTGAAACCCCGTCTCTACTAAAAATAAAAAAATTAGCCGGGCGTAGTGGCGGGCGCCTGTAGTCCCAGCTACTCAGGAGGCTGAGGCAGGAGAATCGCTTGAACCCGGGAGGCGGAGGTTGCAGTGAACCGAGATCATGCCACTCCCTGGGCGAAAGTGTGAGACTCCATCTCAAAAAAAAAAGAGACCTTACTTTTCACTGCTCAGCTCTGGTCCGGGCCCTCCGTGAGCCCTCCCTGACCAATCCTTTGGCCCGAAGAAATCAGACCCTTCTGCTGTGTACTATGATGGTCCCTAACTTGGCAGGGGGTGCCCACAGACCTCACGCAGGGCAGGTGGGGGCGTGGGCCACGAGGTGTCCAGGACATTCTGGGGCAGCTGCCGCCTCAGGTTTAGCAAAAAAGAGGTGCGCACATGGTCCAGGAAGAAGGCGTTCTCGGGGCAGCGGGGGGCGTGGCGCAGGACGAAGCCTCGGATGAGCCTGGGGTGGGGGGCCAGACAGGGTTGGGGGTGAGGGGCCTGGCGGTGAACCACCCCCCACGCCCTGCTCTGCAGCCCCCACAAGGCACCCTGGCGCTCACCGCCGGATGGTCTGTGCCGCCCACTTCCTCTTGGCTGCCTTCCTCCGGCCCAGTGTTCCACGCCACCACGACTGGATGCAGATGGCTGTCGTGGAGACCACAGATGGCTGAACTCTATCTTCTTACCATGGTGGCCCCCCCTGGCCCCAGACCCCGCCCCTCCTGAACACCCATGGGCCCGCGAACCTGATCTCTTCACCCGGAGGAATTTCTGCCGCCAGTGAAAGCCCCTCCAGGCAGCTTGGATCTTTGTGGCTGCGGTTGGGAAAGAAAGGCAATTGGCCAGAGCGCGGGGAGCCAGCTGGGAGCCTGGTGCCGTGTGCGCTCCACGAGTGGCATGAATGGGAGAGTGGCTGAAGGAACCAACGAGCAGGAGGAGAGTGGTGAAGAAGAATGAATGTGGGGACTGCCCGGAAAAGGGGGGCGGCGGGTGGGATGGTGGGCGTGGGGCTGGAGCTGGTGGGGAGGGGCTCCAAGTCGGCCATTGGACTCTCTGGAGAAGGACTCCCTGGAGCTGGGCGTGGGGCTGGAGCTGATAGGGAGGGGTGGACTCCCTGGAGAAGGAGCCCAAGGGAGTGACTTCCCTGCTTCCCAGAAGGGACCCCGTGCAGCAGGAAGGGTAGGCCTCTCTCTCACCCAGGCTCTGCCGCCGGACCTCCAGGGCATCCTCTGTGGCAAACAGGGTCTTGGGGAAGCGGATGAAGATCTTGGTCCTGGGAGAGCAGTAGTGATCAGCCCGGGGTTGCCACTCCCATTCCCCGCAGGCACCCGGCACGGACACTACCCACCTGCCCATCTTGTACTCTTCTGGCTTGTAGCCCAGGTGTCGGACCAGCACAGCCACCCCATCCTGCGGCCGTCCTGCCCACGTGGGCCACGTCTCTGGGCACAGTGACTTGTACCTGGGGACAGGAATGCACGCGGCTCCCACCCCAGTCAGCAGCCTGCCCTGGGGACCCCAATCAGCTTTCTCTGGGCACCTGCTGGGTGCTCCCACTGACTCGTTCACAGCTAGCAGGAGGCTCACTCGGTCACTGCCCCCATTTTAAAGATGAAGAAACCGTTCTTATCTACCTAAGGCCAAGTAACTAGAAAGTGGCAGAGATGAAATTCAGTTTGACCCCCCAGGCCCCCGACTCAGAAGAACCACAAAGCTGCTCCACCCTTTCGGAGCCCCTTGGAAGCTGCCCTACAAGGCTTGCTGTCTGCCTCTGGTGCCCGGCACGTGGACGGAGGCCTCCTGTACCCCTGACCGGGTGCTCCTGGAGGGCACGGCCTGGGGGAGCCGGGTATTCTTTCCACCCAGCCTGATGTCAGGACCGCAGCACCAAGGGCCTCCACCAAGGGCAGCCCAGGGCCTCCGCATCCGCATTTCTAAAATGGGGCCGAGAACCCTTGTCTGCCCTCATGGGACCTAGGGGCTCCTACCCTCCCGCTCCCCTTCCCTGGCACCGAGCAGGACCTGCCCCCACCTTTGCAGGAAAGCTTCGTATTTGCGGCGATAGGCAAAGCCGGCTCTGCGCACGCGCAGGTTTTCCAACAGCCCCAGGTACTTCACCTGGTGGCGGATCAGCACCTCGTCAAAGCGGCCTGGGGTAGGGGGAGCGCCGTGGTCAGCGGGCTGGCGCTGACGGCCTGTCTCCTGCAGGGGAGGCCCGGCCCCGAAGTCCCCCGTGGGAGGGGCCTACCGGGCTGTTTGGCATCATTGGGTTTGATGCAGCGGACGTAGGCGGGCTCCTTAGACTGCAGGATCTCCACCAGCTGCAGGAGGCTCATCTTGAACTGGGTGGCGACCTGGCGAGCCAAGAGGCATGGGAGGTTGGCCGGAGCTGGGCTAAAGCTGCTGACCCCAGCAGCGAGTACCCCACTCCCCTGGCTGGTGACGCGCGCAGCAGCCTCTGATTCTGCCTGGTCCTTACTCCTCCCACCACAGCTTCCTCGCAGCAGAGGAGGGGGCCAGACTCCACCCCTTACCCCTCTGGCTGGGCGAGAGACCTCAGTCTACGAGCCTCACTCCAGCCTAAAACTCCTGCTCAGGTCTCCCAGCAACCTCAGTGCTACACCTCCCTTTAGTGGCCCTTCTTTTTCTTTCTAGAACTTCAGGGCTGCGTTCCTAAACAGCATGTCCCATGCTACGCATTCAGCTAGTATCTGGGTATGCTGCTCTGCGGGACCTGGAAGGATCTCAGGCCTGGCGGAGGAGCACGCTCCTTGGCAAAGACTCACAATCCCGGTGTTCCGAGAGTAGCAGGTGTATGCCTGTGGGTTCTGAGAGCCCCACAAAGGGACAATTCATCCAGTCTGAGGGTTAGGGGGCACCAGGTGACGTCTTCTGGAAATGACGCTCTGCTGAGCTTTAAAGGATAAGGAGGAGGGGCGGGTGAAGTGGCTACAGGGAAGGACTGAGGGGGAGCTGCTAAGTACTCCGGCAAGATCCAGTGGCTGGACAAGGGAGACAAGGAGAGAAAAGAACGAGGGGGCCGGAGCCGGGCGCGGTGGCTCACGCCTGTCATCCCAGCACTTTGGGAGGCCGAGGCGGGCGGATCACCTGAGGTCAGGAGTTTAAGACTAGCCTGGCCAACATGGTGAAACCCCATCTCTACAAAAATAAAAAAATTAGCCGGGCACGATGGCGGGTACCTGTAATCCCAGCTACTCGTGAGTGTGAAGTGGGAGAATGGCGTGAGCCCAGGAGGCAGAGGTTGCAGTGAGCCGAGATCGCGCCACTGCACTCCAGCCTGGGTGACAGAGCGAGACTCCGTCTCAAAAACAAAAACAAAAACAAAAAAGGGGATGACACCCAGGTTTCTGGCCTGGGGGACTGGGTCAAAGAAGGAGAAAGCCTGGAGGGGCAGACCAAGGGCCCGTTTGTTATAGACCAGTGGGATCTAGGGTGCCCTGGGGCCACCTAGGGGAAGAGGATGAGATACACGAGTCTGTGGCTTGCTGGAGAGGCCTGGGCGGGAGGGTGTGTAGGCATCCTCAGCAGGGAGACGCTAGGGCCGGGAGGATGTGGTGCTTCGGGAGAGGGTGGGGTGGACGGCAGCAGCGGGCAGGGGCACAGTGAGCCACACCCTGGGCAGCATGTCGCCTGCATGCCCTCCCTGCCAGGCAGTCTGGCTTCCACCTCCCTATGGACTCACTGACCTCACTCTTCTGGGGCTCCCCTGACCCTCTTTTTGCCAAGCCCAACAGCCGTACCTCCGCCTTCAGCTCGCTGGAGCCCTCCCTGCATCTGGCACCCTGGCCATGCCTGCCTTTCCCCCGGTCCTTCTCCTTGATGCCATCGCTTTCCTGCTCACCTCATGGCCTTTTTAGACTCTCTGTGTCTGGACTGGGCCCTCACTATAGGTTCATCTGACATTCCCAAGTCATCTCCAATGCTTCCTCCTCCAGGGAGCCTCCCCAACCCCTCACCCCTTCCGCCCCGTCAGGCCGTTTGCTGTTCCCTCTTCTAAGTTTGCAAAGCACCCTGTGCACATGTTGCTGCAGGCACACCCACTCATTGTGGTACCTCAGTGCCTGGCAGTGTCTGCTATAAATGTCTGCTGAGTGGGTAGACACATGACAGCAACCGCACAGAGGCAGCTGTCAACATATGGGCACCCACAGAGACAGACGTACACAAGGATTCCCCTACAGACACAGCCCACACTGAAGACACACGACTCCACTATAGACACAGCACACACACACAAGTAGGCAAACAGGGACAGGCGTGGTGGCTCACACCGGTAATCCTAACACTTTGGGAGGCCGAGGCAGGTGGATCACCCGAGGTCAGGAGTTTGAGACCAGCCAGGCCAACATGGTGAAACCCCATCTCTACTTAAAATACAAAAAATTAGCCGGGCATGGTGGCAGGCGCCTGTAATCCCAGCTACTCAGGAGACTGAGGCAGGAGAATCGCTTGAACCAGGGAGGTGGAGGTTGCAGTGAGCCCAGATTGCGCCACTGCACTCCAGCCTGGGCAACAGAGCGAGACCCTGTCTCAAAAAAAAAAAAAAAAAAAAAAAGTAGGCAAAGAGGCACCTAAGGCAGCCCCCTACAGACACCTGCAGATGTGCACGGGCTCACACGCGTTCACACGCACGCTGCCAGCTCCCAGGCTCACACAGGCCCTCATGCACACTCAGGCGCATGCACCCCTGCGCCCGGTCCCGCCACCTCCTCACCGTCTCTGGCCGCTTCTTGTCACTGAGCTCGCTCCGGTCAAAGCACTGGCTCATAATGGGATTCTTTGAGCTACACATGGTCTGTGTGGGCAGAGCCGGGGTCAGGGTGGGGCACAGGGACAGGCAGGACAGGCTCCTGGACACAGGTGCAGAGCTGTGGGCTATCCCCACCCCCACCCCGGCCTCCCCACGTCCTCCTCACCTCCTTAAGGTTCCGGAAGAGAAGGTCATTGTTTTTGTCCAGAAACCCTGGGAGGGGAGAACCGACGTGAGGTGAGACAGAGCCTCCCCGCAGGCCCCTGTGGGGACACAGCCCCAGGATCCTCACCGGTCACGCTGTAGGTCACCTCCCCCGCATAGTGCAGAAGGCGGAATTCCCCTCGGCCCAGAGATTTCCTGGTCCGCTGGTCAGCCAGCTTGTGCCTGGGGGTGACAGGGAGGAAGCTGCAGATGGCTGCCGGCCTGAGCCAAGCCCTCTGCCTGCTGAAAGGGCCTCAGGAGCAGGAACCAGCTGCCCAGGTGCACCCCAGGCCGGGCACAGTGGCTCACGGCTGTAATCCCAGCAGTTGGGGAGGCCGAGGTGGGTAGATCACAAAGTCAGTACTTCGAGACCAGCTTGGTCAATATGGTGAAACCCCATCTCTACCAAAAATACAAAAATTAGCCAGGCGTGGTGGTGGGCGCCTGTAGTCCCAGCTACTCAGGAGGCTGACAAAGGAGAATCGCTTGAACCTGGGAGGCAGAGGTTGCAGTGAGCCGAGATGGTGCCACTACACTCCAAAAAAAAAAGAGCAGGTGCACCCCCAGGGCTGGGTCACTGAGGCAGGCCAGGCAGGGCCAGTGGCCTCCCTGATCAGAGCGGACCATGGAGGCTCAGAGAGGTAGATGGCCTTGGCCAGGGCCACACAGTGCCAGGACCGGGACCTGGGCCTCCTGACGGCCAGGGTACGCTGCAGGGAGGGAAACTCTCGTTGCTTCGGCCGCTGCGGGCTCTGCTCAGAAGGGGTGGTGAGCTGCGCACTACTTTTCAGAATGGAATCTGCTGCCCCAAGAGAGCACTTAAGTCTTAGGCGTGTTTATACCCTTTCACCCATTTGCTTTTAAGAACTATTTCAAGCAGCTAACCAGAGACACGGACAAAGATTGAAGGCACGGAGATGTTTGTGGCAGCCTTGTGATTCCAGCAGAAACCTGGGAGGCTGGCCAGGGGCCCCGAAGGGCTGGGTGAGAGAGGGGAGTATCTGTGGGTCAGAACCGCTCCAGGAAGTGTTCTGAGGAAAATGTTGTTTGATGATACGGGAAAATGTGCAGGATATTTACCCTGAGCCTTATACACAAGTTCTCGACTACGAAAAAAAATGCATAGAAAAAGGCAGGAGGGAAATGCCTCACACAGTTAACAGCCATGGCCTTTGGGCGACGGGATCACAGGTGGCTTTTGCGCACATTCCAACTTTGCTGTAATAAGCAATATTATTTTTATAATCAGGAACAAGTTTTTAGTATTTATTATTTAATGAATCAGGCAGCCCCTAAACCCGAATAGATTCAGAGAGACTCCTAGAAACAAGTCTTTTTTTTTTTTTTGAGACGGAGTCTCACTCTGTCATCCAGGCTGGAGTGCAGTGGCACCATCTCAGCTCACTGCAAGCTCCGCCCCCCAGGTTCAAGCAATTCTCCTAGCTCCCAAGTAGCTGGAATTATAGGTGCCCACTACCACGCCTGACTAATTTTTGTAGTTTTAATAGAGATAGGGTTTCACCATGTTGGCCAGGCTGGTCTTGAATTCCTGACCTCAGGTGATCTCTGCCCACCTAGGCCTCCCACAGTGTCGGGATGACAGGCGTGAGCCACCACGCCCATCCAGAAACAAATTTTCAATATATTATTATGCAAAAAATACTCATGGCTTTGGCATTCAACAGCCCTGGCACTGACCCCAGCTCGGCAACCCAGATGAGAGCTAATTTTGGGGAAATGACTTCGCCTCTTGGAGTCTCAGTGAGAAAACACCAAGAACCCCTCAAGGAGCAGCTGCAGGTGAAGCGACGACATGCACAGCATGCATCAGACCGCGCTGGACAGAGGCGCTTGTTCCTGTTTCTACCTCTCCCCACTTCAGAGGATTCCTTCAATAAAAATCAATTTCCAAACAAGGAAGATGAAAAATCTTAGCAAGTTTCATTCTCAAACAAGAAGAAGGAGGAAGCCAGGCTACTAGTGTCTTGTTTTTTGTTTTTTTTTTTGGGGTTGAAGTCTCACTCTGTCGCTCAGGCTGGAGGGCAGTGGTGCGATCTCGGCTCACTGCAACCTGCACCTCCCGGGTTCGAGCGATTCTCCCGCCTCAGCCTCCCGAGTAGCTGGGATTATAGGCACCTGCCACCACACCCAGCGAATTTTTGCATTTTTAGTAGAGACTGGGTTTCACCATGTTGCCCAGGCTCGTTTTGAACTCCTAACCTAAGGTGATCCACCCGCCTCAGCCTCCCAAAGTGCTAGGATTACAGGCGTGAGCCACTGCACCTGGCCTTCTTTCTCTTTTTTAAAAAATTCATTATTTATTTTTTTCCCTTTTTTTTTTTTTTTGAGACGGAGTCTCGCTCTTGTCACCCAGGCTGGAGTGCAGTGGGTTGATCCTAGCTCACTGCAACCTCAAAACTCCAGGGCTCAAGTGATGCTCTTGCCCCAGCCTTCTGCATAGATGGGACTCCAGGCGTGTCAGCATGCCTGGCTAAGCTTCTTAGTTTCTGGACACATGTGAGGGGTCCTTAACTCAGCACCGTCCCTGGTCACCTCCTTGTGGCTGGTGTTTTGTGATGGCGGAGGGACTCCTGCACTCCGCAGGCTCTGCTGCAAGTGAGCCCTTGCCCCCAGCAGCCCCGCAGCCCCACTCACGTCAGGAAGTGTGGATGGTGCTTGACAGTATCCTCCAGCTTCTCCAGGAAGGTCAGGTCTGTGGCCTCCCCGGGGCGCAGACACTCCTCATCCTGGGGGGTGTGGCACAGGGGGAAGGACGTATGGGGGACAGGTCAGAGCGCACAGAGGATTGGGGTCACCGTGCTGGGAGGCACAGACACAGGGGAGGGGCAGATCACAGGGAGTCTCCACAGAGAGCTTCCAACTGGGGCGGCACCTCCCTCCATCCTCCATTCACAGCTCTGCCCTGTCTCTACTCAGCCCCAAACTCTGGCCCTCCGTGGACCAGCCTGGAGAGAACGGAGAAGGGGGACATCCTCCCACCCAGCCTCCAGCACCAGGCCTTGGAGGCGCAGAGGACTCACCAAAATCGAGATGATGCCCTTAAACTTCTCCTCCACCAGATCACAGATGATTTTGTTGTTGAAATACTGGACGGGCTCCCACTGAGGGGCAGAAGGGAAGGAAGGGATCACCGTGGGGTCCTGGCACCCTCTCCCAGGGGCCCCGATACCCAGGCTCCCCGTGGCCCACGGAGAGTGCCCCCAGGCTAGCACACACCGCGATGCCCTCTGCCTCGTACTCCTCCTGCTCCGACTTGAGCGTGAGCTCGATGAAGAGCTGCTGCAGCTTCTCGTTGCAGTAATTGATGCAGAACTGCTCAAAGCTGTAAGGAAGGAGAAGAGCCCACAGTGGCTCAGTGGGGACACAGGACCAGGAGAGGGGAAAAGCTGGACGACGCCCCTGAGCACAGGAGGTGAGAAACACAGAGACAGTCCCCGGCTGGCTGGGGAGTCACAGGGCAGGAATGAGAGGCTGGAGGACAGAAGAGAGGGAGCAGGACAGGAGACCGGGAGGAGAGACGGGGGAAAGATGGCACCGACCTGTTATGCTGAAACACTTCAAAGCCATAAATATCCAGGAGCCCGAGAACCGTGGTGCTCCGCCAGCTGGGGCTCTCCACGTCCTAGGGCAGTCATTCAACCGAAGGCGTGGGCCCCCTGCGCGTGCCAGCCCCACCCTGCAGCACCCCCCGCCTCGCCGACGGCCCTCCCTTCTGCCTTGGGAGCAGTGTGGACCGAGCCCTCACCTTGGAGGCCAGCGACCTGTTGATCTTCCCGACGAGCCAGGTAAAAGTGCGGCTGTACACAGCCTTGGCGAGGGCGTCTCGTGCGTACGCGGCCTGCTCCAGGTTCAGCGGGCTCAGGAGCTGTGGACGCAGCGTGAGACAAGGAGATGAATGCCACAGAGCCTGTGCATCCCACCTGCTCCCAGGCTCAGGCAGACCAGGAAGCCGCCACCACTCTGCACTCCCAGCTCCAGCAAGCCTGCAGTATGGGGAGGGGTGCTGGTAGTGGGACCTCAGGGAGGACAGGTGGCCACCCCAGAGGGAAGGTGGTAGAGGGACAGGAGGCCTCCTTCCCGAGGTGGGAGTCTGGTTCTAGCCGGACTGTTACTCTCTTCCTATGTGACCCTGGCCAGCTCACTGTGCTGCTTCTTTTTTTTGAGACAGAGTCTAGCTCTGTTGCCGTGATCTCGGCTCACTGCAACCTCCACCTCCCGGGTTCAAGCGATTCTCCTGCCTCAGCCTCCCGAGTAGCTGGGATTACAGGCGCCCGCCACCATGCCCGGCTAATTTTTGTATTCTTAGTAGATGGGGTTTCACCATGTTGGCCAAGATGGTCTCGAACTCCTGACCTCAGGTGACCTGCCCACCTCAGCCTCCCCAAGTGCTGGGGTTACAGGCGTGAGCCACGGCGCTCGGCTCTCACTCTGCTTCTCTGAGCAGCCTTCCTTCCATCCCTCCAGCATTGCTGAGGGAACCAGGCGAAGGGGAGTGATGGGAGTAGGGGCTGCCTTGGAACAGCTGCCCCTCCACACCCGAGGGCAAGGGCCCGGCCTCACCTCCTCCCCCTTGGCGATGATCTTCCTGTGTGTCAGGGCTTCTCGCAGCGTCGAGCCTTCCACGCTGAGGAGCTGCCAAGGGCAGGCGAGGACACGGTGAGGGTGCACCCCCAGCCCCCGCCCCCGCCGTCCTCCCGTCGCCCTCTGCCCGCCCCACTCACCCTGGTCAGATACTTGAGCTGGTTCTCGGTGGTGACCTGGGCATTGCTCTCCTCGTTGGCAGCAAAGTGGATGTTGCCCAAATGAAGGACGCTGGCCACGATGCTCAGCAGGTCCTGGGGGAGCAGGCCGGGGGCAGGAGGGGGTGAGAGGGGCCAGAGAGCCCCAAGAGGGCAACTAGCAGATGGCCATGCAGGGGTGGGTGGTGAAGTGTCGGAGAGAAGGGGCTGGAAGTGGGAATGGGTGTTAAAGGTGGAAGGTGATTCTGCGGGTGGGATGGGCACGGTGGCTGACGCCTGTAATCCCAGCACTTTGGGAGGCTGAGGCGGGAGGATCATCTGAGGTCAGGAGTTCGAGACCAGCCCAGCCAACATGGCAAAACCCCATCATTATTAAAAATACAAAAATTAGCCAGGTGTGGTGGCAGGTGTCTGTAATCCCAACTACTCAGGAGGCTGAGGCATGAGAATCACTTTAACCTGGAGGCAGAGGTTGCAGTGAACTGAGATCGCACCACTGCACTCCAGCCTGGGCGAAAGAGCGAGACTCCATCTCAAAAAAAAAAAAAAAAAAAAAAAAGGGATTACTGGCCCACGCCTGTAATCCCAGCACTTTGAGAGGCTGAGGCAGGCGGATCACCTGAGGTCGGGAGTTCGAGACCAGGCTGGCCAACATGGTGAAACTCCGTCTCTACTAAAACTACAAAAAATTAGCTGGGCGTGGTGGCGGGCGCCTGTAATCCCAGCTACTCGGGAGGCTGAGGCAGGAGAATTGCTTGAACCCAGGAGGCGGAGGTTGCAGTGAGCTGAGATTGCACCACTGCACTCCAGCCTGGGCAACAAGAATGAAACTCCGTCTCAAAAAATAAAAAACAAAAAAAAAAGGAGATTTTGGGGGTGTGACAGGAGGAAAGCGAGGGTCCCGGAAGAGGCCTCACCTCCACTTCATCCTCGGTGAAATCAATGACTGTCAGAGCCTTCCTGACGACCTTCCAGTCACTCTTGTCGTTGATGGAGGAGACTTTGGCACACTGGCCCTGGAGGAAGGGCACAGCTGGGTTGCCAGCCCTGGCACCAGATCCCTGGGTGGCACCTGCCCTCCCTGCCAGCCACTCACCTTCACCAGGTACAGGTAGCTCTGGGGGTTCCGTTCCAAGCCCAGCCTGCGAAGAGTCTCCTCCTCGCCCCCCTCCAGCAGCTGGTAGAAGATGTGGAAGTTCCGCTCCCCATGATTCTGGTGCACCACTCGTGACTTTTCCAGGAGGTAACTGAGGATGTGGCCACCCACGGGGGCACCCTGTGGGCAGGGCAGGGCATGAGGCCGGGTCACGGGGACTGGGAAAAGAGCCCACCTGCCCCTCTTCTCCCCTGCACTCCTGGGCTTTGGCAGCCAGACCTGGATGCCAATTCCAGCCCTGCCACTAGCTGCGTCGGCTCAGGCACGCCACCCACGCTGGACTCAGTTACTTCATCTAGGAAATGGGGAGATTCAACTCCAACGACCTGGCTGCTCCACCTGGATGCCTGACAGGTATCGCAAATTCAACAGGCCTGAAGCTCAACACCGGACCTTCTCCCTCTTCAAACAAGCTCCTGTTAGTGTCTGCCCTCCTTGGTCAGTGGTGACTACATCCTTCTCGTTGTTCAAGCCAAGGACTTGGCAGTCCTCCTGGAAGCCTGTGTTTCTCCAAACCCTACATCCAATCAGGCAGCTCATCCTGCTGCCTTAACCTTTAAAACATCCAGAATCCAATCACTGCTCGCCACTTCCACTGCACCACACTGGTCTGAGCCAATGTCACCTGTCACCTACATGATGACATCAGCCCCCTAACCGTTTTCCCTGCTTAGCCTGGTTCCCCTCCCATCTATTCGTCTACTCCCAATCTCCCAGTGAAGCAGCTAAAGTCATTTTTTTATTTTTTATTTTTGGAGACAGGGTCTTGCTTTCACCCAGGCTGGAGTGCAGTAGTGCAATCACAGTTCACTGCACCCTCGAACTCCCGGGTTCAAGCAATTCTCCTGCCTCAGCCTCCTGAGTAGCTGGGACAACAGGCACACACCACCGTGCCTGGCTAATTTTTGTATTTTCAGTAGAGGCAGGGTTTCACCATGTTGGCCAGGCTGGTCTTGAACTCCCGACCTCACGTGATCCACCTGCCCCAACCTCCCAAAGTGCTCAGATTACAGGCATGAGCCACCTCACCCAGCCCGATGACTCCCCTTCTACTCAGAGTTAAAAAAAAAAAAAAAAAGTTCTTGCAACAACCCAAAAGGGCCTGCACCGTTTGGCCTCTCTCTGTTCGCGGGCCCCTGCTCTCTTCTCTGGCCGCTGTGGCCTCCGTGCTGTCCTGGAACACTTCCAGCACCCTCGTATCTCAGGCCTTTGTCCTGGCTGTTCCGTTCCCGCTGCCTGGACAGGCACCTGCACAGCCTGCTCCTATCTCCATCAAGCCATTATTTTCTATTTTTTTTAGAGACAGGGTCTCACTCCGTAGCCCAAGCTGGAGTACAGTGGCATGATCATAGCTTAGGGTAACCTTGGACTCCTGGCCTCAAGTGATCCTCCTGCCTCAGCCTCCAGAGGAGCTGGGACAACAGACATGTGCCACCCTACCCAGCTGTCAAGCCTTTATTAAAATGCCACTTTCTCAGTGAGGCCTACCCTAATACGACCGCACCTGCCCCCCACTCCTTACTGCATTTTATTTTCTGCCACGGCCTCAATTTCCCTGTTTATTGTTTATCACCCTGGAAGGCAGGATTTTTGTTTGCTTTGTTTGACTGCTGGAATTGCAGCACCTGGAATAGTCCCTGGTACCCAGTAGGTGCTTCACACGTGTAGAGCCTACTGAATGGGAATCCTCACGACACACACATCCATGGTACCTTGAAGTCAAACTGCACATCCATGTACTTCCCGAACCTGCTGGAGTTATCGTTCCGGAGGGTCTTGGCATTTCCAAAGGCCTAGGAGTGGACAGGGGTATGAGGGACACCTGGCACTCTCCCCCTGCCCTCCCCACCCCGCCTTGTAGCTACTGCTGCCCCTCCCCTCCCGCACTGGGCTTCTCTCCCTGCCCCTCCCCTCCCCTCCCGCACTGGGCTTCTCTCCCTGCCCTCCCCTCCCCTCCTGCACTGGGCTTCTCTCCCTGCCCCTCCCCTCCCCTCCCACACTAGCCTTCTCTCCCTGCCCTCCCCTCCCACACTGGGCTTCTCTCCCTGCCCCTCCCCTCCCGCACTGGCACTGGGCTTCTCTCCCTGCCCCTCACCTCCAGCACCGGGTTGCTCTGTAGCAGCCGGTCCCGCACGGCACCTCCGCGCTCGGGGGCTGGGCAGGTCTCTGCATAGAACTGCAGCAGCCTCTTGGTGGCCTCGGTCTTGCCTGCCCCGCTCTCCCCAGAGATCATCACAGCCTGGTCCCGACGCTCCGTGCGCAGTGCTCGGTACACAGTGTCCGCCACGGCAAACCTGGGGCGGAGGCTCGTCAGGGAGTTTGGGGAGGGGGGCCAAGCAGAGCCCCACGAGAGTCCCGCTCCCACATCTGGGTGGAGTCCTCTTGTGGGAGTCGAATACACCCTTGAGGATGGGGACTGGGGGTCCCTCACAGGTGTGGGCCATGGGAGATCCGTCATAGCTGAGAATGGGCGTCACCGCCAGCGGGAGGACTGAGAGGCTCTCACAGGTGGGAGGCTGGAGGTCACTTAGGTGGAGGCTGGAGTCACTCACGGGTAGGGCTGGGGGGGGTCTTTGCAGGTGGGGTTCAGAGGTCACTAAGATTGGGGGGCCACTCCCAGTTGGGGAATAAGTCATGGGTGTGAGTCGGGGTAGGGACTGAGTCCCACCCACATGGAGCTGAGTTGCGACATTCATCTCTGGTCACTGGGGGGCAAGAGACTGTGGGATTCCTCACAGATGTGGCGCGGGACGCCAGGATCATTTCAGAGTAAGGTAAGGGTTGGGCGGGGTCACCTCAGATGGAGACAGAGGGGTCGCTCCCGGAGGGGCTGGGGTCACTCACAGGTGAGGGGGCACTTCATAGAAGCTGACGCCACGGTAACGCTCCATATGCTGCCGGCTGTAGATCTGCAGGTCCCGGTAGGGATTGACAGAGACCAGGACGGGGCCAATGTAGGTCTGGGATCGGGGGAAGAGGGTCCAAAGTTTATCCCGGGCCAGGTGCGATGGCTCATGCCTGTAATCCCAGCACTTTGGGAGGCCAAGGTGGGCGGATCACCTGAGGTCGGGAGTTCAAGACCAACCTGACCAACATGGAGAAATCCGTCTCTACTAAAAATACAAAATTAGCCGGGCGTGGTGGCGGGTGCCTGTAATCCCAGCTACTCGGGAGGCTGAGGCAGGAGAATCGCTTGAACCCGGGGGGAGGAGGTTACAGTGAGCTGAGATCGCGCCACTGCACTCCAGCCTGGGCAACAAGAGTGAAACTGTCTCAAAAAAAAAAAAAAAGTTTATCCCGGTGACCCTTGGTGTCTCTTTCCCCTCCGCTTGCCTGTGTCTGTGACCCCAGCACCCCTGCCATCTCCCCACAAGGGCCTCACGTAGATGAGATTCTCCCGAAATCGCCGCCGCAGGTTCTCGATGAAGGCGGCCTCGCTGGTGAAGTTCTCCAGCAGCACGAAATCCTGCACCCCCACCCGGTCACGGGCGGTGAGCGCACTCTCCATGGTCACCCGAACCCCGTCACTGCCCAGGGCCTGCAGAGAATGGGCCACAGAAGAGGGTCAGAGTCATCGGGGGCGGGGCAAGGCCACTTCCCTGCGCCTGTGGGACTGAGAGGGAACGTAGGGGCTTGTGGACTCCGGGCTAGACACGGGACATGAGCATGACGGGTGCGGGGGGCCTGGGTGCTGAGGGCCTGGGTGTGGTGGGCCGGGTGCGGAAAGCCGGGTGTGGAGGGCCCGGGTCCCAGTGTGGCAGCAGAGGGATCACCGAGGCTGCGGGCACAGAACAGAGACAACATGAACCACTTGGGACTCGGACACAGGGCATGGACGCAGGCAGGACCAGAGGGCAGAACCCGGGAGGTGCTGGTTTTGGGTGGAGAAAGGGGGGGTCACAAGAAGGAACTCCTTGAAATAGCAGAAAGACTGCTCTGTTGAGCTTGGACCAATCCCCTCCTCTCTCTGGTTCCTTCCTCCTAAAGGAGGAGGAGTTGAGTTAGACCAGGTGACCTCAGGTCCCTCAGCTCTGAGCCACGTGTGACAGGTGCTTTGGAGGACAAATGGCTCAGGGTCAATTCTGCAGGCAGGGTGGGGCCGTCTCTCCCACCCAGACCCACCCCCACCTCCACCGGTAGAGCGTCGAGCACCAAGCAAGAGGTTACTCCCAGACTACACCAGAGGGGTTCCCCCAGAGGGCCTCCCACCCCAGCTGGGCTCAGCCACCCACTCCAGAACGCGGGGGAGGCCCTCCCTCGCATGGCTGGGGCCACTCCCTTTCCTCCAGCTGCTGGGCTCCCCAGGCACCTCCTCCACTGAGAGTCCTGAGAAGCCTCAGGGGATGGGGGCTTTACCATGGAAAGCCCAGCTGCCTCTGGGTCCTACTGGAGGGTGGAGGGTGGTGCAGGCTGAGCAAGACCCTCGCCCCACAACCAGGGCTGAGATGGATCCCTCTTCAAACAGGGTCTCAGGGCTCCAAAAAATGGACACCCAGAGTATCCAGGGTCAGAGAAGAACAAGGTGGTGGTGATTGGGGGTGGATCCCAAAGGGGCCGCCGGTGTCCTCTGACCACGAAAGGCCCAGATTTCTGGCCGGGGGCCTGCCCCTCCCAGGCTTGTCCTCACCGCCCCGCTCCAATCCCGCGCCGAAGCGGCTGCCAAATCCGGCCGCGGTCCCCGCCCCCTCGCCCTCGGGTCAGGGGTCTCCGCGTTCTCAGGCGTCCCCGGCGGCTCCTCATCCGGCCCCGGGTCCGAGCGTCCCGCGCCGCCCTCCCCGCCTCGGCCTCCTCCCCCTGCAACTTCCCGGGACGTTTTTCCACCCGGAATTCCTGGGCCGCGCCCGCTTCCTGGCGAGGCCGAGGCGACGCCGCGAGGTGGGGAGGGACGCCCGGGACCCCCCGCCCTGCCCCGCCGCCCCCAGGCTCACCGACGCCCGGTAGCGCATCCTGCCCGGCCGGCCTGGCGCCCGCTCCGCTGCCCGCGCTCCGGGTCCCGGGCTCGGCGGCGGTGGCGGCGGCGTCAGCGAGGGAGGGCCCGCCCCCCGCACCGCCCCCACCCGGGCCCCTGAAGCGCGGGGCTTCCCCGGCCTCCCCCGCCTCCCGCGCGGCCGGGCTGGGGTCCCCTCCAGGTGGGGTTGGTGGAGGTGGGGGTGTCGGGGCGGGGGGTCCGCGGGCCGGGGGCGGGGGCGGGCTCCGCCTGAGTCAGGTTTTCCAGGAGGGACGCCGTTGGCACCAGGGTGGAGCCCGGAACCCGCGCGGCCGCCGCGTCTACACCGACCCGGAACTCACTTCCGGGCCTGGGACTACACTCCGCGGCGGGCCTGGGCGCTGGGCGGGCACCGAGGCCTGCGGGTCCCAGAGGAAGCGGGATTTTCCTCCCCCAACCCCCGAACTCGAGTCCCGGGAAAGTTAAAAATAGAACCAATGTCCAAATACGGCCGGCGCGCCCGGCGGGCGGAGCGTTCTCCGTGCGGGACGCCGTCCACCCACACGCGCCGGGGCCTGGTCCGAGCCTCGAACCCAGGAAGATCTTGGTTTTCCTCGTCAGCACGGAGCTCGCGCCCCAGGGACAGGGACGGCCAACGGGTGCCCTGGCCGAGCGCGCGGAGTACCCGGCCCCTCTGGAGGGCTCAGTTCCCCCTCTGGGAAATTCGCGTCCCCCCCGCCCACGGCATTTGGGGCCCACAGCCTCTCCCCACCCGGGACACCCCACTCGCCTCTGGGCCCGGACCTCCTCCCTCCCTCCTTTTTTTTTCTGTTTTTTTTTTGAGACGGGGTCTTGCGCTGGCTCCCAGGTTGGAGTTCAGTGGCGCGATCTCGGCTCACTGCAACCTCTGCCTCCCGGGTTCTAGCGATTTTCCTGTCTCAGCCTCCCGAGTAGCTGGGATTACAGGCGTGCGCCACCACACTCGGCTAATTTTTGTATTTTTAGTAGAGACGGGGTTTTACCATGTTGGCCAAGCTGGTCTGGAACTCCTGACCTCAGGTGATCCACCCGCCTCGGCCTCCCAAAGTGCTGGGATTCCAGGCGTGAGCCATCGCGCCCGGCCCATCTCCCTCCCTGCTTTGAAGGGGGCCTCCCTAGTCCCTCCGGATCTCCGGGACGCCCCCCACCTCCGAAGCGGCCTCGGCAGAACCTCCCTCGCTTGGCTCTGCGGGCACCACCCTCCCTCGCCTGGGGCGAACCTTGGCTCAGATCCCACCGCGGGCAGGGGCGGGGACGTCTAGAGTCTGCAAAAGGCTGGGCTGGTTCTTCCTCGCGGTGGGACTCTGAGCAAGTCACTTAACGTTTCGGCTTCTGTTCTTCATCCCTAACATGAGGCTAACACAGGCCTAGAAGGGCCGTTGGGTGGCCTGAGATAGAGCGTGAAGGCACCTCCAGACCCCCTATAGACCTCGCTGCCCCCACCCGCCGCCTTCCCTCGGCCGGACGCTCATTTCTCACTTGCTTGCGGGCAGAGGCCTACTGAGAGCCAGGCCGTGGGCCACGCTTCCGATCCGGTGGGGAGAGCCTCAGGCGCGTCTGCAGGCACCTGCCTCCTCCACCAACACAACGGCGTACACAGACTCGCCCTGGTGGGGTTAGGCAGAGCGGGAACCCAAAGCCCCAGCGCCCCACCCCCAGCTCGCGGACCCCGCTCCCTGGGGAGAGGGCGAGGCTGCGGCAGGTGCGGGCCGGATCCTTGCGGGGAAGGCTCGTCACTGCAACAACCCGGCCGGAGCGGCGGCCCTGGGGACCCCCGAGCGGGGGCACCAGCTGGTGGGGGAGTGGGAGCGGGGGAGGGGGAATGGCGGCGTCTCGGACAGAGGCGGGGGAGGGCGGGAGGAGACGCCCGCTGCGGTGCCCCCAGGTTTAAAATCTAGAGGGAGGGCCGGGCGCGGTGGCTCACGCCTGTAATCCCAGCGCTTTCGGAGGCCGAGGCGGGCGGATCATCAGAGTTCAGGAGTTCGAGACCAGCCTGACCAGCATGGCGAAACCCCCTCTCTGCTAGAAAATACAAAAATTAGCTGAGCGTGGTGGTGGGCGCCTGTGTAATCCCAGCTGCTCGGGAGGCTGAGGCACGAGAATCGCTTGAACCCGGGAGACGGAGGTTGCAGTGAGCCGAGATTGTGCCACTGCACTCCAGCCTGGGCGACAGAGCGAAGCTCCGTCTCCAAACAAAACAGAACAAGGAAAATCTAGAGGGAGCAAGGAGGCGACCCAGCCTCCAGCCCGCCCAGGGGTGGGGAACGTCCTAGAAGACGGGGTAGAGGGTCAAGAGAGCCCCTCCCGGAAGCTCAGCTCTCTCCCTGCCCCGCGAGGCGTGGGGGACTCGGGCCGGGGGCGTGGCAGGAGCCAGCGGGGGCGCGGCCAGAGGACGGGGCGGAGCTTCGCGGCCGCAGTGTCCGCCCCGCCCCTCCACGTCACGCGGTTGGAATGAGGGGAATCCGCGCGCGGAGGGGTCGGGCCCGCTTCTTCCAGTTCCCGGGCCGCGCCGCCGCATTCCCGGGATGCCCGCTGGCGCCCCCGCAGCCACCGCCCGGCGGCGGAAGGAGGGGGCGTCTCCGCCGCTCGCGGGCCCCAGGGCGGCTCCAGCACTGGCAACCCCCGGCCTGCCCCTCCTCACTGGACGGAAGCGCGAGCCCCGGGCGGGGAGGGAAGCGGGGAACCTGGGTGGGAAAGACGCCGCGGCTGAGGCTGCAGCGCCAGGCGCCTCCTGCGTTCTCCGCGCTTTCTTGGGTTACTCCTTTCAGTGACGCCAGCCAAGCCGTGAGGTCCGTATCATCACTCCAATGCAGAAGAACTTGAGGCTGGGCAGGTGACTTGTGCAAGGTCTCAGGAGGAGTGGGACTGGAACCCGGGCACTGGAACACCTTACTGCAGGGCTGCCCTGAGCCTCTTTGTGCGGTTATCAGGGCTACCAGGGCTGTGACCTTCAGTGACACCGTTCAGGCCCCTGTCGGTGTCGTGTGATTCTATTATGTCACATGTGGGCTTTAGGAGTGGGCCAGGGCCTTTGGCTCTGGGCCTAGAGGTTCCCTGCAGGCCATGGCCCCTGAGTGACATAGGAGACTTCTTCCCCAAGGCTGCCTCTGGGTCTTCTCCCACCTGGGGAGGCATTTACTGGAACCACAGGGGATGGGGTGGCCCAGCAGACCTGGGCTATCTAGTGCCCTTCAGCTCCTATAGGCCAGGTGCCTACAAGCCTGACTTCTGCGGACAGCGGAAAGCTCAAATGTTCCCCCAGCCTAAGGGCACACAGATCTTGCCATGGGGTAGGGGTGTTGGGGGCTGGGAGGAGGTGTCATCTGAGGCACCCGGGACTGCTGCTATAAACCGATGTCCACTGAGCCCAAGGCAGCAGAAAGGCAGCCACAGCTTGTCTCACGGGTGGCACAGAGCAGGGCTTCAACTTCTGTTTATTAAACAAATCTTAGATCTGGGCCTGGCTGCCCACCAAGGACCGTTCCAGACCTCAGGGAATTGTTGTGAAGGGAAATGGGGAGGAGATAGTGGCGACTTAGGGTCTCTACCCTGATTGCTCACAGGGCCTTGGTCAAGGACTGTCCATTCTAGCTACACAACCATGGATCTTTGGCTGCCAGACACCTCTGCCTGGGGGGTCCAGCAAACGTGAACAGAGGCAAGGTGCAGTGAGTGGCTCACACCTGTAACCCCAGAACTTTGAGAGGCCGAGGTGGGAGGATCGCTTGAGGCCAGGAGTTCAAGACCAGCCTGGGCCACATAGTGGTGAGACCCCTGCCTCCACTAAAATTTTTTTAAAAAGTTAGCCAGGCATGGTGTGTGCCTGTGGTCCCAGCTACTTGGAAGGCTAAGGTGGGAGGATTGCTTGAGCCCAAGAGGTTGAGGCTGCAGTGAGCTGTGATGGTGCTACTGCACTCCAGCCTGGGTACCCCAGAAGACCCAGTGTCAAACAAACAAAGAAACAAAGCAATAAACCCATAACATGTTAACATAAATTTGTATGGGGGAAAAAAAAAAGTAAACGGCCCAGGAGCGGTGGCTCATGCCTGTAATCCCAGCACTTTGGGAGGCCAAGGCAGGCAAGATCACTTGAGGTCAGGAGTTCCAGACCAGCCTGGCCCACATGGTGAAACCCTGTTTCAACTAAAAATACAAAAAATTAGCAGGGTGTGGTGGCACACGCTTGTAATCCCAGCTACTTGGGAGGCTGAGACAGGAGAACTGCTTGAATCCTGGAGGAAGAGGTTGCAGAGAGCTGAGATCATGCCACTGCACTCCAGACTGAGTGACAGAGACACTGTCTCAAAAAAAAAAAAAAAAAAAGAGGGCCTTTGACCCCTAACCTGTACTCCCTGTTTAATGTCCTTGTAGAGAGAAGGGTGGCACTGTTTGAGCTGGTCATCACAGCCTGGCATTAACAGGCCTGCTCTCCTGCCTCCACTCCTCACACCAAGTAGTCACGACCTGCTAAAACCTCACCTCCAGGCCGGGCGCGGTGGCTCAGGCCTGTAATCCCAGCACTTTGGTAGGCCTAGGCAGGTGGATCACAAGGTCAGGAGATTGAGACCATCCTGGCTAACACGGTGAAACCCCGTCTCTACTAAAAAAAAAAAAAAATTAGCTGGGCGCGGTGGCACACACCTGTAATCCCAGCTACTCAGGAGGCTGAGGCAGGAGAATAGCTTGAACCCGGCAGGTGGAGGTTGCAGTGAGCAGAGGTCGCACCACTGCATTCCATCCTGGGCAACAGAGCGAGACTCCATCTCAAAACAAAACAAAACAACAACAAAAACAAACAAAAACCTCACCTCCATCACTGCTCCTTACCTGGGCCAAGACAGCAGCCTAACTGGCCTCCTTGCCTTCCTCCTACCAATCCATTTCCTCTGGGGCAACACAAATCAAATCAACACCTCATGTTCATAGAGTGAAGGTTTAGGACACCCTCCATATGCCAGGCCCATGATTCACACTCACTGCTGCTTACCAGGACCCTGCCTATGAACTCCCGAGACCCCCCTGCTGTCCCCAGTTTACCCCACTGCTCCTGCATTCCGATGTGCCAGATGGCCCGCTCCAGTCCCCTCTCCCCCCACCCCTCCCCCCAGGAGGGGGCCTTCGCACCGTCGCCAGCCAGTCCAAGCTTCAGTGCCTGCACCTGCGGCTTCCCCAGCCCGGGGCACTCTCCCTGCCCACCTCACTGAGACTCGGCTCAGGTGTCACCTCCTCCAGAACCCCTTCCTGATTCTCCCAAACACGCAGCGCCTCCTTATCGCACCCCGCAGGAATCAGCTGTTTCCTTGTCAGTCCCTCCCAGGAGACGGCTCCCACTCCCTACACGCAGCGAGGCACACGGTGGGGCTCAGTCACCCCTTCCCGGACCCCTGGATGAATGAATGAATCTCAGAGCCAGGCGTGTGCGCGGGAGGCCGGAGCGTGAGGACTGAGGGCCGCGTGGCCATCCTCCTTCTCCGGCCACCCCGGAGCCCCCCGCCCGTCACACTCGGGGCGCGCTGGGCCCCAGGGGCGGAGAACGGGAAGGGGCGGGTTTAGGCGGCTTCTCCGGAACCCAGAGGCGGAGCAGGGCTGCGGGCGGGGCCCGAAGGGCGCGCAGGGTCCTGGGTCCTGCAGCCCAGGCCGCTCTTCCCCGCCTCCCGCTCCCCGCAGGTAAATCTAAGTCTCCACCAGGCTGCGCCGGCGCCTCCGGGTCGTGGGACCCCCCCCCCCCGCACGGGTCCACGCGGCCGTTCTTCGGCCCCAGCGATCCCCGGCCGTGACCCCTGCCTCGTGCACGGCGGCTCCCGGCCCGGCCGCCCGCTCCCCACACCCGCCCCCCGCGGCCGCCGTCCCCGCGCCCCGAGTACCCACCGGCGTGGCTCTTCCGGCGCGGGCGGGGCCGGGCTGGGCGGCGTGGCGGGCTTGGGGATCCGCGGCCCGGGCGCACTCTCCCCGCCCAGGGCCCGCCGGGGGCCGGGCCGCAGCCTGTCGTCATCCCGGGCAGGGCCGCGCACCCTCCGGCCCCGCCCCGCCCCGCCTCAGCCCCGGCCGCGTCCGCGAAGCCTCGGTGCGTGCGGCCCCCGCCTCGGCCCGTTCCCGGGGCCACAGCGAACACGCGCGCGCCCCTCCGGCCGAAGACCCGGCTCCCCGCCGCGCTGCTGGGGGCGTGGGGGCGCCCGACTTTCTCCCTCCTCCGGGCCCTTTGCATCTCCAGCCCCTTCCTGCGGGCCGGGCCAGGGCCGCGCTCCCCCGTTTCTACCCACCCGTGACCCTTCACCCACCTCCCACACCGTCCTTCTGTTCTGAGTCTTGGGCGGTCCCAGCCCTGCGGACTGGAGAGGAGCGGGGCGTTGACTGAGCCTGGAGCTTCCATGCCCTGGTCCTTCGACCTCACAGCAGCCGGCACTTGCCTTTTGTGCCCAGTATTCACGGTTCTGCCCACTGAGGTTCGGGAAGCCGGGGAAGAGTCAAGCCCAGACCTCCACTTCCAAAAATCCTGCTGCTAGTGGCCCTTGCATCCTTACTCTTCCACTCACCCCGTCTTGTTCAGTCTGTTCTGGCCCCGCCAAGGATCGGAACCCCTCCCCGCTGCTCAGCTCTTGCCCGAGGGCTCGCCTGAGAGGGGCTGCCCGGCCTTGGGGAGACGCTCCCACCCTCCTCCCAGCCCAGAGCATCCCAGCTTACAAGCTTGCAGGGCCTGTGGGGATGAACCACGCGGATGATCTCCCCGGTGGGTACCAGCTCCACTTGCAGCGCCATTCCGCCCTGCGGAGAGCCAGCGGCCTGGGCACCGCGGCCTGTGAGCAAGAGCTGCCTGCCCACTGGCGGGCTCCGACCACTCCGGGACCAGGAACCTACGGTCTAACGCCGGGATGGCCACTTGGTTCTGCTTCAACTGCAGCCCCAGGGGATGTGGCTGGTCCAGCTCCTCAGGACACGGCTGGAGCCGTCCAGGTCTGACTGGGAGGCCTCTTGGCCCGGATGGTTGGAGCAGGAAGAGGAGGGGCTGGGGATGGAGGAAATGCCTGTTGTCCCAGGTAACCAGAGGAGCCGATGCAGCCACCCATGGGGGACCCTGGGCTCCAGGTCAAAGGCTAGGACGCCTTTCCCCTTCCCCCCATCCCCACGGCAGCTCTATGGCTGGGCCCCTCCTCCTGCCCACTCTCTGGTACCACCTAGAGAGCACGGGGCCCACTCCCCAAACCAGACGGCATGCCCTCCCCTAGGCCAAGAGGACCCGTTAGTAGGCACTGGCTTTCCTGCACATCCCCTCAACGGGGCTGCCCCCCACAGCAGGTGAGCCCCCACCATGAGTTTGAGAGACCAGGGCTGCTGGGGCCTGGTCATGCAGGGCCCGGACAGGGGGCTGTCCCGCTGTGAGGAAGCTCTTGGCTTACCCTCCTCTGAGCCTCAGAGCTTGTGAGGTTAGTTCCTGGGTTCCCTGGGTGTGGGCAACCTCTAGCCCTGTTCATCCCTTGCGTTTCAACAGTACCCCCAGGTGACCCCCACCCCTGATGTTCCTGCTTTTCTATTTTTATTGTTGCTAAATCACAGCTGACACTTTCCTGGCCTGAGACTGAGCCCTCCAGTCTCCAGCCATTCCTTATAGGAAGTAAGAACAGGGAAGTGGATAGGGGAAACAGACCTTTCCAGAGGGAGAGGCTGGCATAGGAAGGGCTGAGTCCCGTGGGTGTGTGCTGGCACCGACAGCCCCATAGGCAGGGGCCTTCCCCCCGGCACCCTTCTCTCTCCCCACAGCTTCCCCCGCCCCGGAAAAGCTAGCAAGCCTTCCTTCCTTCCTCCGGGAAGCACATCTATCCAGAGCAGGCTCATCCCCGGCGGCCACACAATGGCCCTTATCAGCCGTGGAGCCAGGCGTAGACCCAGTGCACACCAGGTCTCACTTATTTCCTGTTTCCACCCAGTGGGTCGGGGTGGACCCAGAACGGCCATATCCTGACTGGGGCCCAGAGGACGGAGAGCACCCCCCATTCCCCTTTCCGCCTCTCAATCACTGCTGGGCTCACCCCTCCCACACAGGAGGCTGGGTGTGTGGCGACCTCAGTTCACCACGGGGGAGGTGAGCATGTGGGGGGACCCCTGGGGTCAAGCCCCGGGGCCGCATTAATCAGAACGGGGAGGCGGGTCTAGTGCGATACACTTTCTGCAATTGTTCTCCCACAGTAATCTTGAGAATAGGGACATCATCTGTATTTTACAGACTACTGAGACCGCTCTGCGGGTGGGTTCAGACCCCATTCCTGTTTCTGGTCCTGTGGGAAACCACAGGTGCCTGGAACTTTGAAGAGACTGTACCACTTCTCTGAGCCTTGGCTTTCCCATCTGCCCAATGAAGGGTGCCATGCAGTAACCCTCGTGATGGCTGTGCATGTGAGAAGGAACAGGTGGGCAAGTGAGGGCTTTGGAGGTCCCTAGGTATATGTGTTGGGGGCAGGGATAGGTTACCATGGGGGAAAACTCAGCAAGAAGGGGCTGAGGAGAAGTGGGGCAGAAAGAGAAGATGGTGGCATTCTGGACTGGTTAACGCAGGCAGAAGGCTCAACACCAGGGTATGCAGAGCAGCGGGTCAGGAGGGATGAACAAGAGCTCATTTGACTTAACAGAGTACATTAAGCGGCCACCGGCATAGATGGCATGCTCCACCTGGTTAGGGCCCCAGAGGCTCACCATTCTAGAACCTCATCCTAGCCCCAGTCCTGGCCACTTCTGCAAATCTCAGACACAGAAGTCTAGTTGGGATCTACAGGGTCCCTGTTCCTGGAATCTACAGCTAGTCCCAGGCCCATCACCGTACCCCCACCCCCCAATCATCAGTCACACGCAAGTGTAAAAGCCACGCTAATAATTACCCCTGCACAATGTAACAGTCACAAAACAGCCAGCCATGGCCTGCTGGAAGCCAGGGGACAATTCTTCATACACAGGCTTGCGGGGGAGAGTATGCAACACAGAGCAACTGGAGTAACCCTCAGTCCCAGGACACAGGATGGCAGGACAAGCACTGAGCAGGCTCCCAGAGGTGTCTTCTCCTGGGAAAAGGGCTGCCGAGTGACCATGGCGGAGGCAAGTGCTGGATGTGGGGACAGGCCATGTCCCCAAAGCCCCTAGAGGGTGTTCTCTGAAGAACCCCAGGGCCAGATCCTCCAAAATGTCTTGAGCTGGTTCTCCCTTCTGCCTGCCCCCACTCTGAGGTCCCGGGGGGTCCAGGGGGGGCCCGTCGTCAATGGCTCCTGACAAGGGTGGCACAGACGCACCTCACCTGCCAAGGACCACCCTGGAAAAGTCTGTGGCCACAGCTCCTTGACCACTTGTCACCCCTTCCTCAGATGGCAGGGTGGAGGCATGGGACTCAAGCTACCAACGGAAGCGAACCTGGATCCTTCCCAGTTCTCTCTGTCAGGATCTGGAACTTCCATGCAGTCAGACTCCATGCCGTGAGTAGGGAGGAAGGTTGTGCTGGCCGAAGGACCCTCATCAACCTGCTCATAACCATGGCGTAAGAGCCTGGCTAGAGGGGCCCCTCCATTCTGCCCACTGAGTCAGACTGCTTTTGCTGAAAGCAGAAATCCCAGACCCTCTGCTCACTCCTCACGGGGACAAGCTATGAGATGCCAAGACTCCTGGAATCCAGCACTGCTTGCACCAGTCTATGTAGCCTGTACAAATGTGAGCATCTCCCCTCCCAGACAGCCTGAGGCCCAGGACGGCACGACAAGAATGCAGGCCTGTGCCAAATGGGGCATGTGCCTGGCAGGACTACTTGGGCAAGACTAGAAGAGGGGGTAGGAATCCAGAAATGAGACGCAGAACTGTCCCCAGGTCTTCACTGTTGACACACTAGCTGGTTTCACTCACATCTCAGCAACAAAAACCTGTATTTAAGCGGCTAATTCCAGAGATGAGTAGTGGAGAGAGCAAATGAGCCTGGTTAGAGCTCACTCTGGGAGGAGTATGTGGACGACACTTGGCTGTCTCTTCAGGGGGCCAGGCTGGGCCCCCAGCACTCCCGGCAGTGGAAAGGCAGAGCTGGCTGCCAGCTCTGGCCTCCGCCTGGGATTCACTCCCATCCTGGCTCAGATCTGTGGCTGTGCTTCACCCAGTGGGTCCTCCCTCAAGGAGCCAGGCGGGATCTGCAGGGATAAAGCAGGTGGTGGAAATGGAGAGCGGGTCTTCCTCCGTGCTTTCCATCACCCCCGTTCCTGCACTGCAGCGGCCCCTCATGTACCGGCTGGCTCCCAGGCCTGGGCCTCAGGGAGCCAGTGATGAGCTCAAGCCCTCACCCTTCCCCTTCCCTCACCAGCACTGCTTACCTGGAAGGGTCTGCTTATCCCCACCACAGAACGCAGACTGTTGCTGTAGTAACAGAGGAGAAACTCATCTTCAGTGGTAGGGATATTGCTGATGTCGATGTAAACCTGGAGGGGGATGGACAGGACTGGGGTCAGCTCCAGGGCTCTGGGCTCCACCCAGCTCTGAGTGACAAGTTATTCAGCACTCTGTTCCTTCCACAAGACAGGAGTGCTGAGGCAGGCCTGCCTGCTGGTGATGTACCTGGTGCTGGTGACGTACCTGGTTCAGGTTGTCGCTGCAGGAGACCTTGCTGTCCCCGACCCAGGCATAGGACACGTAGTCATTAACGTCCCGCAGCCCCACCTGTGAGGGGGAGTCAGGCCATCAGTGGTCAGGGAGGACATGGGACCTAAGGCAAGTCCTAAGGAAGAGATGGTCTCCCTGCTGGGCCTGGCTACCGTACTGTGTGCCTCCCCGCCGCCCTTCACTGCCAGCCTTTAGCTACAGAAGAACCGCTGGGGTGGATGAGGGTGAGTTCGTCAGCATCTGCCCAGCTCCCAGGAGCCCTCGGGAAGGATGAACCAGGGGCTGTCGCTGATGGACTTCCTGCCTTGCCACCACATCACCTTGTACAGTCCAATCCAGTCCCACGGGCTGCTGGGGAAGTCCGAGGTTGAAGAGTAGCTGACCATCATGTCATTTTCCACGGTCCACAGGTCCTCGGGCATCAGGACGATCAGCGGAGCAGACACCAATGGCTTCAGCTAGACACGGGGGTGGGAAGGGGGCTGAATCTCGCAGCATCATTCCCTCCTCTGAGGCCAAGTGTTCCTCACTGTGCCCTTCCAACATAGTGGGGAAGGTGGGGCACCCAGAGGGGGTGGGCATGGAACTCCACTGGGCTGCTCCAACGGACCTTGGCTGGCCATCAGGAAAGAGGGCCGAACACCAGTCGGCGGGTGGCTGGCCCTGTCGGAATCCCATGGGGCCCAGCGCTGGGGGGTAGGAATGGCGGAGAGCAGAGGCACGGCTGAGAGGCTTAAGGAGGCGGCCAGGCAGCTGCTCTCAGGCCTCCCGCCTTATCTGACCCAAAGCCCCACATGGGGGGATGCTCTGGTGAGAACAGCTGTGAACGTGCAAGAACACAACGCAGATACCAGCGGGGGCCAGGCACGGTGGCTCACACCCATAATCCCAACAGTTTGGGAGGATCACTTGAGCCCAGGAGTTCGAGACTAGCCTGGGCAACATAGTGAAACCCTGTGTCTACAAAAAATACATAACAGCCAGGCGTGGTGGCGTGCACCTGTAGTCCCGCTACTAGGGAGGCTGAGGTGGAAGGATCAATCACTTGAGCCCAGGAGGTGGAGGCTTCAGTGAGCTATGATACCGCCACTGCACTCCAGCCTGGGCGGCAGAACGAGACCCTAACACACACACACACACGCCAGTAAACCTGTATGAAAACGTGAAGGCTGAGGGGCAGCAGCCTGAAGGAGGCCAACACCACCTTGGTCATTCAGATAGCAAGATACAAGGACGCAGGGATGGAGGGAGCGCCCGTTGCAACTTGATCCAGATAGATTTAGGACAAATAAAAGAAGTCCTACTTCTCACATTGGGTAATAAGCCTAATGGAACTCATTAGCCCCAAGGGAGAATACCCAAAGGAAATGGAAACCTTTTCACAAAGGGTTTGAACACGGTTTTGACAGACAGAGCCATCAACGGCTCCTAAGAGGAGCTGGGATATCCGACCTGGCAGGAAAGGCAATCATGGCCTCCACAGGTCTCCCCTGGGGGACTGGCTGACATTCGAATCCAGGGATGGAGGGCTTGGGGATGTGGCCAGCATAGCTATTCCTCTGGCAAGTATCAGGCAGCCCAGAAGTTCACCTCCAAGTCGAACGTGCCGGAGACAGGCTTGTGGTCGCTGATGCCGTACGTCATGTGGCTGCTGTAGCCCCTCAGAGACAAGGAGAAGTGTGACGCCGGCGGTATGGGAGTGTCGGGGCCAGCACAGGGCTGCCGCTTCAGCCTCCACAGGATGCGATCGGTCCATGCAGGCTTGCGTTTTTTCTCACTGCAGGGGCAGGGGGCATAAAGAGGAAGAATGGGGAAAGAAGAAAGGGTTGGCTAAGAGCAGAAATGAGCCCACATGAGCTTGCTGGAGCCCCTAACTCCAGCAACTACTGGCAGCCACAGACCCCCGGGGCCAGAGCCGGAGGGAGCAAGGCAGCAGGCAGGAAGGTGCCTAACAGAATCCAAAGTATGCCAGCACTTGTCAGACTTAGCCAGGACCCTCTGTATGTCTAGCTCATGTTTTTATGGATCAAATTGTGACTCAGAAACATTCCATTTCAAAGCTTTGCTTCTTTCTTGAGCAAAAGCAGCAGTGGATCAAAGCAGCTGAGGTTTGAGATTCTGAGGCTGGACACACCTGAGCTTGTATTTGGCTGCCCTGCATACTAGAAGTATGCCTCAGGAAAGGGAAGGGAAGCATTTAGGAAATGCTTACCAGAGGATGCCTGTGATCAGTACTGTTACCACACCTTTTTTTAAATTTAATTTTATTTTTTTAAAGAGACAGGGTCTTGCTCTGTCATGCAGGCTGGAGTGCAGTGGTGACATCACAGCTTACTGTAGCCTCAAACTACTGGGCTCAGGCGATCCCACCTCAGCCTCCTGAGTGGCTGGGACGGTAAGTGCGTGGCACTATGCCTGGCTAATTTTTAAACATTTTTTTGTAAAGACAGTATGTTTCCCAGCCTAGTTTTGAACTGCTGGCCTCAAAGGATCTTCCCATCTCAGCTTCCCAAAGTGTTGGGATTAGAAGGCATGGACCACTGTGCCTGGGTGTATCATGCTCTCTTTACAGGTGGAGAAACTGAGACTTAGCTTAGAGGGGAAGCACCTTTCCCAAAGTCACAAGGTACTAAGTGGTGGAGCCAGGATTCAGGGCCAGCCAGCATGACCACAGAGCATGTGCTCTTAACCACCAAACTAAACTAACCTCTCTCAGGCCTCAACTTCCTCGCCTGCCAGTGGAGGGAATAACAGTAGTTACCATGAAGGGTTGCTAGGATGAGTCAATGAGATAAAGTACATAAAATGTTTAGCACAGTGCTTGGTGCAAAACGAGCTCGCCATGCACACTGGCCTTTATGATTTCCTCTCAAGAGTCGACTGAGAGGCCGCGCGCGGTGCTCACGCCTGTAATCCAAGCACTTTGGGAGGCCAGGGTGGGTGGATCATGAGGTCAGGAGATCGAGACCATCCTGACTCTCTACTAAAAGTACAAACATTAGCCAGGCATGGTGGCAGGTGCCTGTAATCCCAGCTACTCGGGAGGCTGAGGCAAGATAATTGCTTGAAGCTGGCAGGCGGAGGTTGCAGTGAGCTGAGATCATACCACGGCACTCTAGCCTGGGCGACAGAGCAAGACTCTATCTCCAAAAAAAAAGGAGTCGACTGAGAGACCTCCCACCTGTTCTTCACTTGCCAGTTTCCCTGAGGGGTTTGGAAAAGGTAATACGCTCCGGAGACAAAATGCATTCCTCCTCTAGGTAACTGAAGTTGACCAAAGACGAGTCTCTGACCCATAACCCAGCCTTCCGAAGCAACTACTGTGGCAGTTTCTAAGGCCACCTTGTCCTTGAGGCCCTGCCCTCCTGGAGACCAGCAGCTCTGACTCCTGGAGGTGGGGTGTGTGTGTGGCGGGGGAGCAGGACAGCTGCGGTTTCTGGGTTCCACCCCCTTCATGGACAATCTCCTTTCTTGAATCAACCCAGAGTAATAAAGCCTAATTGGATCAATCAATCAATCAATCTATAGACAGGGTCTCACACACTCTATCTCATCTATTGATCGATCGACAGGTCTCACTGTGTTGAATCCTATCTACCTACCTATTGATTGATCAATCCATCGACAGGGTCTTGCTGTGTTGCCCAGGCTGAGTGCGGTGGCACAATCCTAACTCACTGCAGCTTCAAATGCCTGGGCTTCAAGCAACCCCCCACCTCCGCCTCCTGACCAGCTGGGACCACAGGCATGTGCCAGGGCACCCGGCTATTTTAGAACCTTTAAGGCATCTTCACTGCCTCCAGAATAAAGTTAAAGTCCCCAAGTAGGGCTTTCAAGGGGCTCAGGAGTCTGACCACCCCATCCTTCATCTCACACCACTTCCCCAGACCCACTCCACCTTGGTGACTCTCTCAAGCCTCTGGACCTTTGCTTTTGCAGTATTTGCTGCCTGGAACACCTTTCTTCACCAGGGAGAGGCCTTTGCCGAAACCATCCCAGACATTAGCTTTTTGCTTCCAAAGTTTTTTTTTTTTTTTGAGACGGAGTCTCGCTCTGTTGCCCAGGCTGGAGTGCACTGGCGCAATCTCGGCTCACTGCAAGCTCCGCCTCCCAGGTTCATGCAATTCTCCTGCCTCAGCCTCCAGAATAGCTGGGATTACAGGCGCCTGCCACCATGCCTGGCTAACTTTTTTGTATTTTTAGTAGAGACGGGGTTTCACCGCATTAGCCAGGATGGTCTTGATCTCCTGACCTCGTGATCTGCTCGCCTTGGCCTCCCAAAGTGCTGGATTACAGGCGTGAGCCACCGCGCCCGGCCACTGAAACATTTTATACCAGTATTATACGATTACACTACATTGCAATTTTCTGTTTCCCACTCAGCATGTCACTTAGGTGTAAGCCCTGAAGGCAAGGACTTAGCTGTTGGAGTGTCCTGTGTATCCTCAGCATTAGCACAGATCCTGGCACACAGGTACTCAATAACCAGGTACACTTACTAAAAACCCAAGCTGAAGCTCGTCCCTCAAAAATGTCCGTCTAATCTTAATGTTTACAGCTCCATATACTCGCAGTTGGAAACACTATTTTTGTCTCCTTCTTTATTCAACTGCTTTTTTTTTTTTTTTTTTTTAAGACGGAGTCTCGCTATCGCCCAGGCTGGAGTGCAGTGGCGCAATCTCAGCTCACTGCAACCTCTGCCTCCCGGGTTCAAGCGATTCTCCTGCCTCAGCCTCCCAAGTAGCTGGGATTATAGGCGTTGAGCCACCATGCCCAGCTAATTTTTGTATTTTTAGTAGAGACTGGGTTTCACCATGCTGGCCAGGCTGGTCTTGAACTCCTGACCTTGTGATCCGCCCGCCTCGGCCTCCCAAAGTGCTGGGATTATAGGCGTGAGCCACCGTGCCTGGCCTATTCAACTGCTATTTTAAATAAATGTTCCCAATGTACTGGTGTCCCTTCAACAGTAAAAGAGTAAGTATTCTAGCAACTGAGGAGAATGGCGTTACAGTGGTGAGCTCAGACTTTTGAATCAGAGACCAGTTGGGGGAAGGGTCCGTCCTGTTAATTGAGAGCTGTATGCCCCTGGGCAAGTGACTTCATTTCTCTAAGCCTCAGTTTCTTCAGCTGTTAAGACGGGGTGATAACAGTACTTACTTCAAAGAGCAGTAATGAAATTAAAGGGCGTCAAGGGGGTGGTCACGAAGCGGTAACTTTGACTAACCCTGGTCTGCCTGTTGGCTCCTTGGGTCATTTCCAATCTTTCACTCTTCTAAGGAGTGTTCAGAGGGCACTGGAATGTGGTATTCCCATCCCAGAGACCACAGACACTGCGTCCCTGAATCTGCCTTGGACAGCAGGTGCCTAGCAATGCTTACAACTTGGTAATGGGGCTGGGCACGGTGGCTCACGCCTGTAATCCCAGCACTGTGGGAGGCTGAGGCGGGCGGATCACAAGGTCAGGAGTTCAAGACCAGCCTGGCCAACATGGTGAAACCCCGTCTCTACTAAAAACACACACACACACACACACACACAAATTTGCCAGGCGTGGTGGCATGTGCCTGTAACCCCAGCTACTCAGGAGGCTGAGGCAGGAGAATCGCTTGAACCTGGGAAGCGGAGGTTTCAGTGAGCCAAGATTGCATTGTTGCATTCCAGCCTGGGCAACAGAGCAAGACTCCATCTCAAAAAAAAAAAAGAAAAAAACAAACAAACATAGGGCCAGGCACGGTGGCTCACGCCTGTAATCCCAGCACTTTGGGAGGCCAAGGCGGGCAGATCATGAGGTCAGGACATGGAGACCATCCTGGCTAACATGGTGAAACCCCGTCTCTACTAAAAATACAAAAAATTAGCCAGGCGTGGTGACGGGCGCCTGTAGTCCCAGCTACTCAGGAGGCTGAGGCAAGAGAATGGCGTGAACCCGGGAGACAGAGCTTGTAGTGAGTGGAGATCGCGCCACTGCACTCCAGCCTGGGCGACAGAGCGAGACTCCGTCTCAAACAAACAAACAAACAAACTTGGTAATGAACCACACAAATGCACGTTCTCTCTTTCAAAGCATTCTCCCTCCCTAACTTCCCTGTGATGGTTTGGAGCCCATATATGCTGTCATGTAAGGGTCTTCCCCAAGCCCTGACCACAGCCTGTCTCTCCTTCCTCCTCAGGACTCTCAGCCCACCCCCACCCCCCTTTTTTCCTTTTCCTTGCCACGGCCAGGCTGATCACTGGGCATACCAAGATTTACTTAGCCCTTCTTATGTGCCCCGCAACTGGGGATATGAGAAATAGGATGGACAAAGTCCTTGAGGAGCCTGTTTAGCAAAATCCAAGAAACAAGCAAAGTGAGCGTGTACAAATTAACCAAGTTCTCTCCACTCCACCTTGTTTTTCTTTAGAGACAGGGTCTTGCTGTCATGCAGGCTGGAGTGCAGTGGTGTCCTCCTAGCTCACTGCAGCCTCCTTGAACTCCGAGGCTCAAATGATCCTCCTGCCTCAGCCTCCTGAGGAGCTGGGACTTCAGGGGTACACACCATGCCCAGCTGTTTTTTTTTTCTTTTTAAGACAGGGTCTCACTGTTGCCCAGGCTGGAGTGCAGTGGTGTGATCACAGCCCACTACAGCCTCAACCTCCTGGACTCAAGCAAGGCTCCCACCCCAGTCTCCTGAGTAGCTGGGACTACGGGTATGTGCCACCATGCCAACTTTTGTATTTTTTTGTAGAGATGGGGTTTCACCATGTTGCCCAGGCTGAACCTGAGCTCCTGGGTTCAAGTGATCATCCTGTCTCTGCCTCCCAAATTGCTGGGTTTAGAGGTGTGACCCATCACGCCTGGCCTTTTTTTTTTTTTTTTGAGACGAAGTCTCGCTCTGTCACTCAGGCTGGAGTGCAGTGGCGTGATCTCGGCTCACTGCAACCTCCGCCTCCTGGGTTCACGCCATTCTCCTGCCTCAGCCTCCCGAGTAGCTGGGACTACAGGTGCCCGCCACCATGCCCGGCTAATTTTTTTTTATTTTTAGTAGAGACGGGGTTTCACCGTGTTCACCAGGATGGTCTCGATCTCCTGACCTCGTGATCCACCCGCCTGGCCTCCCAAAGTGCTGGGATTTCAGGCGTGAGCCACCGCACCCGGCCACACCAGGCCTTTTAAAAAAATTTTGCAGGGGGAGGGTTCTCACTCTGATGGTGAAACCTCATCTCTACTAAAAATACAAAAAATTAGCCAGGCATGGTGGCGGGTGCCTGTAATCCTAGCTATTCAGGAGGCTGAGGCAGGCGAGAATCACTTGAGCCCAGGAGGCGGACGTTGCAGTGAGCCAAGATCATGCCATTGCACTCCAGCCTGGGTGACAAGAAGAAAACTCTGTCTCGAAAAAAATAAAACACTTTGTCTGGGCTCACAGTGGCAACTATAACAAAACTCCAGTGTAACCCCGGACTTTAGCAGGATTCCCGCCCTGCCCTCAGCCCTTTTGCCCTCCCTATAAGGGAGCTGGCCTCGTTTCTCATTACATCTTGGCTCAGGGACACCGTAGTGGCTGGCCCAGCACACTAACGCTCACAGTCACTTCATCAAACCGGCCCCCTCCAGGTTCCTCTCGTCAGTGTGCTGACTGATTGGAAAGCCCGCCTTTCTGCTTTCTGCGAAACTCTGTGCCTCCTTCAAGATACTGTCCTTGACAGGAAGTCTGACAGGCCTCTCCTAGCTTTAGCTGTTCACCTCCTTAACATTTGCTCCAACCTTCTGCACGGAGTTCTGGAAACCTTCTATTGACTAACTCCCAGGCTTGGTAACATATGCCAGGTACTGTGCTACTCCCAGGGATGGTCCTAAATCAGATCGTCTCTGCTCTCTGGGCAATCACAGTACAGTAAGAAAGGTACGCTGTGTCTCAAAAGCAACACTGAAAGCATGGCATGCGCAAGGCTGGGGGTGGCACAAGGCAGGAGAGGAACTCTCAGTGAGATGAGGAGGGGCCGGGAAGGCGTCCTAGGAGAAGTGATGTCTCAACTGGGTTTCCAAGGATAAAATAACAGTGTCATTAGACAGGAATATCTGTTCCCCAGGTGGGCTCAGGCCCTGCTCACTGCAAAACTCCCAGCTGCCCCTGGATCCTGGCCCCAGCCAGGAGTATTTCAGTTACCATGTCCCCTGTTCCCGCCCAGACAGTCTTGCATTTCCTGGGCTCCAGCCAAAGGGAAGCAGTACCGAAGGCTCATGAGTCTACAGACACAGATATGAGTTCCAATCCTCGTGCGATGAAGAAGCCTGTTACTCCTTACTTATATATTCTTTGAGACTCAGTTGCTTTCCTTGTAAACAGGCAATAATAACACTGTTTACCTAACGAGGACATGGTAGGAACTGATACAGGCAAAGCCTTGGCGCACACCTGCACGCCAATCACAATGAGCTGTTATTTGGAAATAGGTGCGTGCCTCCTCCTTAGCGGGAGTCTGCCTTCCTCACCGTGCCATCCTTTTTCCTCTTGCTGGCAAGGATGACCATGAATCCTGAGGTACGATGGGCTTGAGGAAAGTACTGTGGGCTACAGACTCAGAGATCAGTCTCAGCCCCAGCTCTGCCACTCACTGGCTGAGCTACCTGGGGAAGCCCTTGAACTTCTCCAAAGCTCTCTACCCTTTCTGACCCTGCCAACTCCAGCCCAGATCCAGCTTTTGCAACAAACTTCAGTCTCCTGGAGGTCTCTCTGCCATAGGGCTGGGAGAAGGGGACGCCTGGCCGTAGGGCCTGCCAGCAGCTCTCTTCCTGCTGGTAAGTTTTTAAAGAGGATTTTTTTTTTTGGAGACAGGGTTGCCCAGCTGGAGTGCAGTGAGTCAATCTCAGCTCACTGCAGCCTTTAACTCCTGGGCTCAAGTGATCCTCCTGCCTCAGCTTTCCTGAGTAGCTGGGACTACAGGCACATGCCACTACACCCAGCTAATTTTTAAATTTTCGTAGAGACGGGGTCTAACTATGTTGCCCAGGCAGGTCTTGAACTCCTGGCTTCAAGCACCCCCTCCCCACCCAAGGCCCTACCCTGTCCTTACAGCTCCCACCAGGACTCTTGTTTCCAATGGATGGCTGCAGAGACTGGCAGTCTCCCTGCAGCTGTTGATCTGGGCCGGCCATCCTGCTGCAGCCTGGCCTCTTACCTCCTTTCCTGCCTGCTCTGTTGCCCAGGGCGGGTCCCTTCCCCAGCGTCCACTGCCTCCTCTTCTGTGGACGGCCCTGCTCACGACCCTACCCTGTCTTGCTCCACACTGCTGAATCGGCTCACTCTTTCCCCCTTTCCTTGACAAGGATATTTTGGCTTTGCTGTAACACTTCCAGAACCAAGCTTGAGTTCTACCTCTTGTCTTGGTCTGGCTGTGGAGATATTTCTTCCCTGGCTAAATCCCAAAGCCCTGGGCTGCCCTGCCGGTACCTCCCGCCTCCCTCACAGAGACACTCCAGCTAGGAGGAATGAACAAGCTGCTCCCGCTGGAACAAAGACCCTCATGACATGTAAGGGGCTCTTCTTTTCTTCAAAGAGATTAGGTTCCTTGCCCCAAAATGAGTCAGGGACATGTTGCCAGTGGTTCTTTCTCAGGTTTTGGTGGTTATTTGGCCCCTTCTCAGCTTCTTAGAAAGGTTTTTAGTAAATCTATCACGGGAAGACATGAATCTATTTATTTTATTATTATTTTTTTGAGACGGAGTCTCGCTCTGTCACCCAGGCTGGAGTGCAGCGGTGAGATCTCGGCTCACGGCAACCTCTGCCTCTTGGGTTCAAGCAATTCTCCTGCCTCAGCTTCCTGAGTAGCTGGGATTACAGGTGCGCGCTACCATGCCCAGCTAATTTTTGAATTTTTAGTAGAGATGGGGTTTTACCATGTTGGTCAGGCTGGTCTCAAACTCCTGACCTTCAGTGATCCACCTGCCTCGGCCCTCCCAAAGTGCTGGGATTACAGGTGTGAGCCACCGCGCCCAGCCGGCATGAATCGAAAAGTCACAATAGCCGTTCTCTCCCATGGTTACTGGGTGACGGCCTCCTTCAGTCCTCAGCCTCATGAGGTGTGTGCTCTTCTCATCCACACCTTATAGCTGACAAAATCAAGGCCTAAACGCTTTGGCTAAAATAAGACAGAGCCGTGCTTCTAACTACCAGACTCATGATCTCTACACTGATCCTGATGAAACTCTCTACCTACTACTTCACCTTCTCACACAAGACCTGACCCATTCACAGGCTGGGGCAGGCGTCCTTAATACCAGTAACTGGCTGGGCCAAGCTTTCTGCCCCGTTTGGGGACCAGAAGGTCTGGGGTTTCCCGAAGCTGAAGTGCAGTCCCTCCTAGGTCAGGAGGCAGCTGCTCCACCCTCTCCTCTGGTTCTATCTGTAACACCCCCACCCCCTACACACCTCTCCTGCCCTTGCTGGCACTGGCTTTCCTCCCACTCTCTCGAGATCTGGGACGGCTCCCCGAGTCAGCGCCTCATGAAGTGGACAGGAGGTGCCACTCTGGAGAGGGGATGACTAGACCAATTCCTGCCCCCCCTAACACTTCTATTCTGAGACAGTTCCCATGCCAGCAGGGTCAGTGTAACCTGACTTCCTAGACCTTCTGGCCCCCCACTCCCTCCTCACCTGGTGTCATAGTCGTTGGAGTTCCTATCAAACTTGTAGGTGGGCGGGAAGAGTAGGCGGCCCTCCTGGAACTCCCGGAGCAGCGGGTCATGTTTCTTGGCAATGCTGAGCTGCAGACAAAGTCATAGTCCCCGTCTCCCAGTAGTCTCGACCCAGTGGCCCAGTACCACACTCCATTCAAGGGATCAGCACATGCCGTCACAAATGGGGCAAGAGTCAAGCAATGCCACTCCAATTCCTCACTGCCCCAGTGACTACTCAGCAGCCCACTCCCACCAGAAAGCAGGCGAATCCTTTCGGAAACATTACCAAGGCCCAGGGGAGGCAGCTGTCTGCCGTTTCCCAGTCCTTAGACTGCAGGGACCCAACTTGGAATTCCATCTCTAGGGGAGATCACTAGCAGACATGTGTCAGAGGGGAACCTGGGGAAGCCAGGGTTCTCCAAAGGGGCACCTCACCCTCCAAGAGGGAAACGAGGCTGGGGATGGGAAAGACGACAGGGACACGATGGGCTGACGCATGATGGTACCTGGTGCAAAGCCCTTCTGGTTCCCTATTCTTCTTCTTTTTTTTTTTTTGAGATGGAGTTTTGCTTTTGTTGCCCAGGCTGGAGTGCAATGGCGCTATCTCTGCTCACTGCAACCTCTGCCTCCCGGGTTCAAGCGATTCCCCTACCTCAGCCTCCCGAGTAGCTGGGATTACAGGCACGTGCCACCACGCCCGGCGAATTTTTTTTTGTATTTTTAGTAGAGATGAGGTTTCTCCAAGTTGGTCAGGCTGGTCTCAAACCCCCGACCTCAGGTGATCCACCCACCTCGGCCTCCCAGAGTGCTGGAATTACAGGCATAAGCCACCGTGCCCGGCCCCTATTCTTCTTTTTTAAATAATTCATTTCATGCTTTGTATCTGACTCTCTATTCTAAAGCACATCCAGGGTCTGTTACCCTGGCTTTTCCATGTGAAGATCAGGCGTGGCTGCCTCACCCCTGGATGCGAAGCCCTGCTAGACAGCCTCCCCCACCAGACCTGGGCAAAAGAAAACAGCAGCGAGGGCATCTAGCAACACTCTGCACAGCTCACATGGCCCCCACCGTGGGCTCAGATCACCCCCTGGGACCCTCCCCTCACTGGATACCTGGTCCTTCTCCCACAGGCCACCGTAGCACCGATTTTTAATGGATTCCCGAACAAAGTGCAACCCAAAGTCCTCGATCCGAAAGTTCATGTCTCCAAACCAGATAATGAGGCTTCAGAAAAAAAGGAGGGCAGCCTGAGGATTTGTGATGAAGTCGGGGAAGGGAGATCACCAGGTGGCTCAGCCTGCTCAACCCAAGGGCTGCTGGGGCACAGAAAACCTGAGGGGCAAGTGAGACGCCAGGGCACGCGTGGGTCCTCTGGAACTGTTCTCATGGCTCCTAAACCACCATTCAAACCGGAGAGACCTACCAAAGAGCCTGCTCTGGCAAACACAGAGCAGGCTGTGGCCCTTCCTTCCTCTCCTTAACTGGTCACGAGGAAAGGCTGAGAAGCCCTCCTGGTGACCTCAGGAGCCACAAGGTCCTTGACCTGTTCCCAAGTGTTCAGGGTTTCTAAGCAAGACAGACGGGCTGGAGGAAGGGGACCCCAGGCAGGCAAAGCAAGGGGAGACAGCAGATGGGCACCAGGGAAGGGTCAGGGAGAGGGTGGGAGCCAGAACACTGACGACACTGGCTGGGGGATCCGTGATGGAGCAGAGGATGCTGGCTTGGGTTAGCGTGGGGCAGAGGGCGGGGAACAGTCTGCAGACCCAGGCTCACTCGTGGCGGTCAGCTGGGGCAGAGGGCGGGGAACAGTCTGCAGACCCAGGCTCACTCGTGGGGGTCAGCGTGGGGCAGAGGGCGGGGAACGGTCTGCAGACCCAGGCTCACTCGTGGCGGTCAGCGTGGGGCAGAGGGCGGGGAACGGTCTGCAGACCCAGGCTCACTCGTGGGGGTCAGCGTGGGGCAGAGGGCGGGGAACAGTCTGCAGACCCAGGCTCACTCGTGGCGGTCAGCGTGGGGCAGAGGGCGGGGAACAGTCTGCAGACCCAGGCTCACTCGTGGGGGTCAGCGTGGGGCAGAGGGCGGGGAGCGGTCTGCAGACCCAGGCTCACTCGTGGGGGTTAGTGGGGGTTAGCGTGGGGCAGAGGGCGGGGAACGGTCTGCCAGACCCAGGCTCACTCGTGGTCCAGGATGTTTGGGATGTCTCGCCCCTCACAATTCTGCATCTCCAGGATCCGGTCAAAGTGCTCCAGCCGCTGGTAATTGTTGGAAATGTGGGGAGGCAGGTGGCAGTTGATGATGCTGACATAGTAGCCATAAAGCTTCAGGCAGATGTTGACTCCACCTTTGTTCCCCTGGTAGAACAGGTCAACAGAAGAGTGGGAAGCTACTCGGGTTGGACACACCCCTCTTTCCACATCCTGGACCTGAGGGCAGACAGTCTCACTTCCTGCAGGGTCTCCTAGGGACAGTAACTAAGCTTCCCAGGGTGATCTCTCCATGCACAGAGCCCAGCTCGCCTCGCCTGGCCTCAGGGATAGCAAGCCCACTCTGAGGCAAAAGAACAAACATGCATTGGGCTGGACAGAGGACCAAGATTCCTTTCACTTCCTTTTTCTTTTGCCCAGCTCCACAGTTCCCAGCCCTTCCCAGCTCACGACTCAGACAATAGCTCAGTCCTTACCCAGTACCCAAACAGGCCAGTGGGGGTGGATTTAGTAGACAGAATCTGGATATAGGGCAAATGCTGATACTTGGCAAAGACCAGTAAGAGGATCCCCTGCATACGGACATGGGAGACCTGCAGGAGAGAGAGGGCAAAGGTCGCTCATTAAACCACACAGGCCAAGTGCATCCCTTCCAAGCTCCGTGCTAGGGACTCTAGAGAGCCCTCAGCTACATGCAGTGTCCTGCTCCAGGGTCTACGATATCCCAGTTTGAATCTCAGAGTTTCAAGCCTTTCCATTCTTCTTCTCAGCTGCCAAATGATACATTCTGGGGGCTGAGGTTTTCGATTCTGCGCCTAGGCGTGCGGGTGGCGGGAAGAGAAGATAAGCTAAGGATACTGGCTTTGAAGTTAGATCTGGGTTCAAACCCTGGCTCTGATTCTTAGTATTTGACATTGAGGCAGTTTCTCAGTGTATTTTCTCATTGATAAAGTAGGAATCCATCTCATAGATGCTGTGGGGATTATCTGAAAGCTATTATTTTTTGGTTTCAGCATTCTTTTTTTTTTGAGACGGAGTCTCGCTCTGTCGCCCAGGCTGGAGTGCAATGGCGTGGTCTCGGCTCACTGCAACCTCCACCTCCTGGGTTCAGGTGATTCTCCTGTCTCAGCTTCCCAAGTAGCTGGGATTACAGGCGCCCACCACCAGGTCTTGTATTTTTAGTAGAGATGGGGTTTCACCGTGTTGGCCAGGCTGGTCTTGAACTCTCGACCTCAGGTGATCTGCCTGCCTTGGCCTCTCAAAGTGCTGGGATTGTAGGCGTGAGCCACCGCGCCCGGCCAAGCATTCTTAAAAGGAAGGAACATAAGAGGTTTCCAGGATACTGGGAAATGCTCTTCTTTATCCCCTTCCCTTCCTCCCTCTCTCCTTGGAAATGTTCTTTATCCACCAGCTGCCCCCATTCCTCCCTTTTTACTTAGAGACAGGATTTCGCTCTGTCTACCAGGCTGGAGTGCAGTGGTGCAATCACGGCTCGCTGCAGCCTTGACATCCTGGGCTCAGGCAATCCTCCCACCTCAGCCTCCTGAGTAGCTAGGACCACAGGTGTGCACCAACATGCCCGGCTATTTTTGTTTGTTTTGTAGAGACAGGGTCTTGCCATATTGCCCAGGGTGGTCTTGAACTCCTGGGTTCAAGCAATCTCCCTGCCTCTATAATCCCAAAGTGCTGGGATTACAGGCATGAGCCACTGTACTCGGCCTGCTCTTTATCTAGATGTGGCTGATGGTAACATGGGTATATGCAAAAACCCATCAAAGTGTACACTGAATTTCTGCATGCTTTTCTGTGTACATTATAGCTCAGTGAAAAAAAAATAAGAAAATGCTCCCCCCAAACCCCATAACTATATACTGCGTGCAGCTGGGTGTCCATGAAGGCAACGCCCATGGAATGCCAGTGGGTAAGGACACATGTGCACAGGCTAGGGAGAATAGCTAACATCTGCTCAAGTGCCTCCTCTCTCATTTACTCCTGCCAAGCCTGTAAGGAATCACCGTCCCTGTTTTGTAGTTGAGGAACTAAGATTTAGGGAGGCTAAGGAACCAGTAGGGCTACCTGTATTGTAAAACAACATCAAAGGGCTAGGACTGCCAAGATCCCTACTATCTGCAGCTGCAAAAGGTGGGGTGGGAATGGGCCGCAGCCAGTAGCTCTCCCTCTCAGGTTCAGGCTGTCTACCACCGGCACCCGAGGAGCCGTTTCCGGAGAATGAAGTGTGGAGGCCAAGGAGGAAATCCCCGGGTGGGGAGCGTGTACTGGGGCCTTCCAGGAATTATGAAACTTGATCCTGCAGGCCACGAGCCCTGGCATAGCGGAGTCGAAGCAGGGGGAACCTCAAACCCAGCACTGGGTAAGGGAGGCATCAGAACTTCAGGTGGGCCAGAGGTTGCTACAGGTGTGTCCTCAAGCCTACTTCCTCCCCAGTCTTCTCTCTCCTACACCCAAGCACACGTGCCAACAGGGATGGAGGACGGGCTGGACCATGAGGGGCTGACTCCCAGGGTCAGGATTGAAGCAAGGGGACTGATAAAGACTCAGGAAAAGTTTCAGGCTTAATCCCCACCCACAAAGCAGCTTTAGGCCACTGGGTTCCACCACAAAGACACTGGCTCGCTTTGTGAAGGAGCAGCAGGGAAGTGGGGGCGGGGAGGGTGGGGTCGGGGCAGGACAGAGTTAGACTGGGAGAAAGGGTGGGGCTGTGGGAAAAGCAGGAGAGTTCTAGGGAAAGTTCTAGTTGGAGGAAATGAAGTAGGAGGAGCGAAGAAAGGACTAGCAGGAGGTGGCTGGGGGCCCTGGAGCAGTGGAAGGGGGTCAGCCCTTCTCAGTCTATAGCTGGCAAATGCACGGAGCTCACCCATCCACCCTGATTCTTGGCTGGGGAAAGAAGGGCATTCATTTTGGGTGCCAGGCCCTCAGTCTGGCCTCCCAATCTCAGTAGGCCACATGGGTAGAAAGGGCTGTGTCTCTGCCACAAGTTGAGCTAATTTCCTTGGCTCAATTCCATCCTACCAATCCTTTGCCAGTCAGCCGAGAAGCAAGGAGGCCTGCAGTCTTGGGAAGGGAGTGGCGGGTGAGAGAGAAGTGGTTGTGTCCTCTGTAAGGATCTAGCTCCCTATCTACAGAAGGAGGCCTCTGGGTTTGATGTGGAGGGAACCAAGGACTCGGGCTGGTGTTTTCTATCCTCAGCAGGAGTTCTAAACCTTAGATTCTTTCCTCCCCATTCTGCTCCCCCTCCAAAGGACACACAGCTCTTGCCTCAGTACCCCCAGGCAAACTAGGCTGACAGAATCCATTCTGAAGAACAAGAGTCATCCAGGAAGGGGAAAGAGGGAATTCTGGTATTTCTAAGCAGCTGTATACCAGGTGCTGTGAATGGGAGTGTGTTTCATTCCTCAGGTGTGCAGGGCAGAACCAAGGTGAAGGTGAAGATCTGGCAACCCAGGGCCTTCCTGTGGACTCTCCTACTGTCTAAAGACACCCCAGAGTATACTGGTCTCTCAGACTAAGAAAGCCGCCCAAAGTACCCACCACACCTGACTCCCCTCTCCTAACCTCTGGACCCCCAGAATCTGAAGTGCACGTCCCGTATGACCTGAGGATACCCTATGACACCAGCAGGCTAGCCACGCCTAAGATCTGTCAGTCTTAGAGTTCACCAGCATAGCAATAAGGTATTAGTAGTTAAGAACTTGGGTTATGAAGTTTGAGAGATCTGGATCCAAATCCCAGATAGCGCATGTGGCTTCTGAGCCATGGTTTTCTCTGTAAAATATCTCTATTTCAACAGACTTGTTAAGATTTTAAAATAACATATATACTATAAAGAGCTACTTATGATGTGTAACAACAAGTAAGCACTTGATAAATGACAGCCGTATGATTACACTCAGAGACTTCAGGATGGGCATTTGAGTAGAGACTGGTGGCTGGGGCAGCGGCCAGCACTGAGGTGATGACAAGCCCTGCTGCACCTCCCCTCAGAATCTTCCCAAGCTGAAACATATCCAGGTGTTAACCCAACCCCTGGAGACTCCAGCTCCCTCAGAAAGGCGAAGGCAGGCAGGGGCCCCGGGGTCCAGGTGGAAGGGAGGTTTAGCCCTTTAAACAAATGGGAAACAGCATGAAAGGCTGAGCAGGAGTAAGAGGAACACATCAGACCCAACAAGCAGGGGTCAGTGGAGATGTGAAAACACAGTTGTCAAGTGCCAATGAACTGGCAAGTTACCTTGATGAAGCTCAGAGGGGAAAGCACATCCATGAGGAAACTGCTCCACGAGTCATTAAAGGCAGCATCGGAAAGGAGGCTTATGATCCCAGAGTTCAATTCCTGCAAACTGACCATGCCAGCTCAGAGGCTTGGCCCCTGGCCTCCAGGCTACTTCCCCTGCCACAGATATTTGATACCATCTTCACGGACTTTCAAGGCCTGAGTTCTGATGGCCATGAGGTCTCCCTCCCCTGCCTGCTGATCTCCAGCCCCCTTTGCCGTTGCTGACCCGGGACCAGAGACATGGGACTGTCCCTGAAGCAGGCTGAAAGCTCCCAGCCTTCAGACTCCAGAGCGGAGGAGGGCAGGTCACAGTGCTTCCCACAGGGAAACCTGGGACTGGTCAGGGATGGGCGAAGGAGCCTGCAGATACCTACCCAATAACATATATGTCAAGATTGAGGTTCCGGTTGTTCAGCTGAAGCAGGTCACTGAGATCTAGAGGGGGCGCTGCCGAAGCCACGTTCCAAGTCACGACGTGTATGCTGCGGAAGGGATGCAGAGGGAAGTCATGGAGGAAGGAGGATAAGATAGTGCACGGGGTCGGCTGGGCGCAGAGGCTCACACGTTGTCATCACAGCACTTTGGGCGGCCGAGGTGGGCGGATCACCTGAGGTCGGGAGTTCGAGACAAGCCTGGCCAACATGGTGAAACCCCGTCTCTACTAAAAGTACAAAAATTAGCCCAGCATGGTGGCAGGCGCCTGTAATCCCAGCTACTCTGGAGGCTGAGGCAGGAGAATTGCTTGAACCCACGAGGCAGAGGTTGCAGTGAGCCGACATTGTGCCACTGCACTCCAGCCTGGGTGACAGAGTGAGACTCTGTCTCAAAAGAAAAAAAAAAAAGATAGTGCACGGGGTCTAGGCCTGCTTATGTCACTGCAATCTGCCACACTCATGATGGGAAATGTGGGTTTCTGTGCTGGTGGAGGGAATGGGGATACTGAACCATCAGCTGTCCGTCCTCACCTTTCTCTGCTGAAGCAAGAAATCCCCACCCCGGACTGGGTCCTCCATGCTGGCTCACAGCCACCCACACCCGGCAGCACTGGTGCTGCTGATATAGCAGAGTCGCCAAAGGGAGCCCAAGAATTTCAGGTCAGGCTAGCGAAGGGTTAGGGGGCTGAACTGCCAGGAATGTATTAATTCCATCAGCTCCTCCAGCCACCCACACCCCTCTGTCATCATCTATGGCTCAGTCGGCAACTTCTGATCCCTACTTCTCACCCCAAGTGTTCCTAAGACCACCAGGAAGATCCTAGGGATTCAGATTTCACCTTGTGATAGGCCTCAGCACTACAAGGGCAGAGGAATTTAAAAAATAAAAGAGATAACACCACCATATTCCCTTCCTCTCTCCTCCCTAGCAGATCCCTGGAGCAAGCCAATTTTGCCAAGCACTTCAGCGAGACTTTTTTTTTTTTTTTTTTTGAGACTGAGTCTCACTCTGTTGCCCAGGCTGGAGTGGACTGGGATGATCTCGGCTCATCGCAGCCTCCGCCTCCCAGGTTCCAGCAGTTCTCCTGCCTCAACCTCCCAAGTAGCTGGGATTACAGGTGTGTGCCACCACATCTGGCTAACTTTTGTATTTTTAGTAGAGACGGGGTTTCACCATGTTGGCCAGGCTGGTCCTGAACTCCTGATCTCTCAGGTGATCCGCCCGCCTCAGCCTCCCAAAGTGCTGGGATTACAGGCCTGAGCCACCGCGCCCGGCCAAGGAGTTTTTAAGTAACAGGTTTCTCGACATCTCTCTTAAGAGTCTATGCTCTATGTCTGCGTAGTATTCCGTGAAAAATAAAGAGTACTCTCTGGGGAAAAGTCATCAGTTGGATATTTTCCACCTCAGCTTACAAGTCTTAGGGAAGCAAGAAAACTAGATAAGGGGCCTCAATGACACTGGATCCAGTCAGAGGCTCAGGAAAGAGAGACCTACAGATGTCTTTAGTGGAACAGTCAGTCACAGCAGCTCTTCAAGAAGCCTCAGACTGTGCGGAGCACAGAGCGGGCAGGAGCTACAGACCCTGCAGAGACCAGGAACAGCCTAGCATGAGTCCTAGGCACACGATGAGGAGTACCTGCAGCAGCTGGAGATCTGGAATGGCAGAGGGTACAGGGGGATGGGAGAAAAGGGCAGTTAATGCCAAAACATCTCTCCTCCAACAGACCCCGTCCTTAGAGGTCGACGTTCTCAAAAGCACTTCAAGAAATTCTTGGCCAGTTTAAAGCAACTTCCTGTCCCTCCCTGTTAGCATAAACAACACTATACAGAAACCACCTTCCCAGGCACTCGGCCTGAGATTTTGAGCTTCATTTGTTTACGATCTCCCCCTGCTGTCCGACAGAGGCTTAAGGAACAAAGACCTTTTACTCAGAGACTTCTTTTCCCAGACTCACTCTAAGAGGATGGAGAGCAAAAGTCCGGATTTCTTGTTCCCACTCTCAAATCCGACGATTAGCAGCAAATCCAAGCATCGTGACTTAGACTAAGTGGGCGATTAGCGTTGTTCCCCGTGAAAGAGCAGGCAAGAGACCAGGCTAAGTCACTTCCCTAAAGGATCTTATCTCAATCTGATTTCGGATTCCCGGGGTTCACCATGGGATCAGGCAGACCTCCTGATGTATGTGCTGATGAAAAGTAGGAAAAAGATTTCTAACCGAGAGCCGAAGGGTGACGGCCTCGTTATGTCTTTAACCTCAAACAACCCCACACGGCTGTCCTCTCCAGAAAGCAACCGGGACACCTGCTGCGCCCCAGTGGGAACGAGCTTGGCGGCCTCGGCTTAGAGGGGGCGCGAGGCTCGGGCCCAACACAGCCCACCTGACACAGGCGTGGGAGAAGGCGAGAGCGCCTCTGAACCAAAGGCAGTCATGGAGGTCTGGTGCCTTGTCCACCCCCAGCCCGCAGCCCAAGGGGCGCCGATCCCCCCGAGCAGGCCTGCCTCTGCCGCCAGGGTGCCCTCACCTGAGCCTCCTGCCTTTCGGCCCGCTCAGCTTCCGCGAGCTCATGGCCGCCGTCGTCCCCGCGCGGTGGTCCGGCAGGTTCGCGTCTCCCGGCCAGCGGGTCCCGGCCAGAGCAGCCCTGCGGGCGGCCGGTCTCACGCGCCTAGCTGTCGCGGACTGTTTTTCTTCCGGACTCCGACCGTCCGCCCCGGCTTCCGTCAGAGACGCGCCCTCCGCGCACCCCGGGATCTGGGTGGTGCGGTTCGCAGAAGGAGGCGGGACTCTCCCACGAGCGCAAAGCTGCGAGAGGCTGAGCGAAGACGGGTTCGCGGACGTAAGAGGGGCGTGTCGGGCCTGTCATCAGCGCACGCGCAACACTGCCCCAGACGACGCGAGGTGTGCGGCCGCCACTAGACCCGGCCCAGCCCGCGCCCGCCGTCCGCAGCTCCCAGCGTGCCCCGCGCCAGGGGCCGTCTTCCGGCGGAAGTTGTCTCTTCGCCGCCGCCGCAGCCTCTGCCCCACTCGTGAGGGATCCGAGGGCTCCGTCCTTGTGCTGTCTTCGCCCCGGCTCCCAGGGGTCAAACGAGGGTCGGGGGTGGGGACACGCAGCCTAGCCACTGTCCTGCCTGGGATCCGGTCTCCCCCGCCCCCCGGCTGCAGGTAATCTCCCCATTCCTGCTACTGCGGGAGCGCCTCCGTTCTCCACGCCCACTTTCAGGCTTCTACTCCAAACTTATTGGATTACCTATTGCATATGGGACGTTTGGGGATTCCTGGACTCCTACAGAATTAGCCGTCAATAAATGAAACGTAGGCCGGGGCGCGGTGGCTCAATGCCTGTAATCCCAGCACTTTGGGAGGCCGAGGCGGGCGGCTCACTTGAGGTCAGGAGTTTAAGACCAGCCTGGCCTTAACATGGTGAAACCCCGTCTCTGCTAAAAACACAAAAGCTAGCTGGGCTTGATAGCGCGCGCCTGTTAATCCCAGCTACTCGGGAGGCTGAGGCAGGAGAATCGCCTGAACCCGGGAGGTGGAGGTTGCAGTGAGCCGAGATTGCGCCACTGCACCCCAGCCTGCGCGACAGAGCGAGACTTCGTTTCAAAAAAAAAAAATAATAATAATAATTAGCCGAGATGGGGTTTCGCCATGTTGGTCAGGCTGGTCTCGAACTCCTGACCTCAGCTGATCCACCCGCCTCGGCCTCCCAGAGTGCTGCGATTTCAGGTGTGAGCCACCGCGCCCGGCCTAAAACTACTTTAAATAAATGTTTTGCTTGTTTGGTAGGGTGGATAAAGAGGAAGATGTGAAGAGGAGGCAGACAAAAGCAAAAGGACATCCTGTCAGTAGGAAACGGCCGAATTACAATTCAGATGTGCAATGTTTGCATAAGTAAACTGACACGGGACTATTATATGCAGAAATCCACGTGCAAAAATTTTCAGACACACCTTTGTACCTCTTCCTAATCCTGCCCTGGTAAAATGGCGGTTATCAGTGCAAGTTTGAGGATACATACAGCTGGAAAATGGACATCACCAAACTGGACTCCAGAAAGTTCTGTCTAGGATTTTATTAGACTGCTTTTTTTCTCAATATACCTGTATTGGAAGATTGAGACAAAAAGGCACAAACTCACATTAAATAAACAAGGTAATCTAATCAATTCTACAAAGTGTAGTTTGTAAAACAAGTAGCACTAGGAACCAACCAAAGTAAGTCAGGGAGTCCCAGCAGGGACTGTAAAAGAACTTGGGAAGCTATACACATGCCCACGATACTGACCCTGTCCCGGACCTCTCTGCATGAGAAGGCCAGAGCCCAGCACCCCTCCTACAGAGGCACTGCTGCTTCTGTTGGGGCTGTGACCCTGGAATTCTGATGGAAGCAGCTGGTCTGAAGGGGCATGGCACACACTCAGGTACTACCCCTGGAGCTGAACCTTTATCATAAGTCCCTCTGAGTGCTAGTCAGTTTGGAGGTGGGTGAGGAGGAAAGGGGGTACTTAAAAGAAGCCAACACTGTTGCCCAGCAGCAACACCATCCGTGGGGATGGAACAGACCAGGGACATCCTCCTTTATGTTTATGTGGGCTGCAATTCCAGATCCAGGCTGACCTCAGCTCATAATGGATGCTTTTCAACTGGGGCAACAGGTGGAGGTGGGAGGAGCCCTTGTTAGGGCTAAAGTGATATGTGTGGGTCTCAAGAGCCAAAGGAAGGAGACTAACAGCTGCTGACCCTCAGACCACATAGACAACTGTCTGCCTAGAATGTCAGTTTGTTTCTTTCAAGATAACCCGCATCTGGACTTCCCCTAGTTGATGAATGAAGGAACATCTTTAAGCACAAATATAATGAATAGCTAACACAGAGCTTATAGGAAAACACTGACATTTTTCTCCAGTAGGAATGCCTCTTCTCCAACTTTCCAAGTCAGATAAATGCTACCAGCAGTTGAGATGCTACCCAGATGCATTACTAAAGACCCCTCAAGGTGAGGAGACTTACACAGAGGAAGGTGTCTGTAACAAGACATCTGGTTCCAAAGGGACCTCAATGAAGGTCAGCGCTAACCATGCTGGGGGTCTGAGTCTGTCCACCCTTGCCCCAGGAGGGCCACAGGGAAGCATCCATCAGGATGTCACAGGTGCAATCCTGTGAGACACTCCCTTATTGCACTTAGAAATGAGTAAGGCAAACAAACTGACAAAAACAGGATACATTCTCCCACCCACTTCTTGCTTCCCGGACAAAGATTTGGTCTCCCATTAGCAGATGCACCCAGGCTAGTGTGGGCTGGGATCACGGCACACTTAGGCCAACGTGCTTCACAAGGTTTGGGGAATGTCAGGTGACACTACAGCTCTCTCTCATTCTCCCACTAAGAGGCAAACTCAGGCTCTGTCAAGTTGCAGGAAGCTATGAACACTGGGCAGCGTCTGTTCCCCTGGAGCCTGGACTTCCTCACCAGCCTACTTTGGTCGGGTTCTGTACTATGATCACTACTTGCTTTGGGTTTTCCAGGGCAGAACTCAACATGGGGGTAGGACGAGCTAAGTTCTTGATCCCCAAATTCCTTTCCGGCAACTGGAGACGAGGGAACATGTTCTGCTGGAAAAAGCTTTTTGCATGCTCATATTGTGCAGCATGAAAGATCAGGACTCTTGCTTCCTAACCAGCCTCAAAGACAGAGGACAGGGACCTAAGAAAGCACAGAGAAAAGAGGATTATTGCTGAGTGGCAGCACCAGCCCCAAAGGGAAGAGGAGGAGCAGGGACTTACAGAGCTCCTCGGGGTCAGACAGTTGGTATCTAGGGGGTGACTCAATTCTAGGGGCCACACTGGACAATTCCCTCCAAGTGGAGAGTTGACTGGGGCGATTTTGTAGACTGCAGAGAGATTCAGAGCGGGCAACAGGAGGGCCAAGAAGCCACAGGTGTTTCTAAGAGTAGTAACTAGAGATTCAGTGATTGGGACAGGGTTACTCGTATTTGTTAAATTTTCTTAAATAGAGACTGGCTGAGCCTTGGGTACCTCCATAGTGCTAGAGTGCCCTAACGATGGGTTACTGGGAGCAGAAGTCAGAGCTGCAAAACCACATTGCTATTTTGTGGAAGCGGTGCGGGGCAGGGAAACATTGTATCTTTAGCTCATCCCCGCTCCCCACAGGAGCACTCAAAATTGCGAAGATCTTCCCAGGAAGCAAAATACCTCAGTTTACCCCAAGGTTGAGAACAAATGAACTTAAATCATTTAAATCACCACATCACAAAAGGCAGCTATTTGAAAGACTGAAAATGTCACTTGGAAATAAAGGTTGGGGGAACACACAGAAATGGATCGGAACACAATGGAGAGAGACGGAGGCGCTGTAACTACAGCAACCTACACGCCACGTATCTCGGAGGAGCAGGCTCCTGCACACGCGGGCTCTGTGACACCAGACGGTCTATTTGTTCACAATACTGAAGGGCATCTAGAATTAGCTACAGTAAGGAATCGAAAGTTGCCTGAAGAATGGGCACAGAACGGCTGCGTCCGAAAATGGCCTGTCACTTGGGAGGGTGGAGCTGCTGGGTCTTCCTGTTGACCACTGTCTTGCAAAACTAGAAGAAAAATGAAAGTATTAAGGAAGCAAGAGGAGAAAACAGAAACACTGTAAATCGTCCTGAATGGATAATTTCAAGAGGAGGAGGGAAGCCAGTGGGTGGGTGGGGAAGGGAGTGGGGGAGAGCACTGAGGCCCAGAGCAGTGACTGAGAAGCTGGCATCACAGCAGTCCGCCTCATTCCACCCTCCAGCCTCCCCGAGGCTGCTTTGGGAACATGGGGCAGGGAGAGTAAGCAGGGCCTGCCGTCACTCCTGGTGAGACCCTGGCCCTCCTTGCCCGTAGGGTTAGAGGCCAGCTTTTATTTGTAAAAATAATTTTCTCTCTGAGGCTAATTGGGAGCAGAGCCAGGTTTTTCATTCAGTGATTAAGACTGCTTTGAGCTGCTGGAATCCCATGACTCGGGTGGTGTACAGGGCACTGGGAAACCAGCACCGAGAGTTAACGGAAGGAGGGGGCTTGGGGAAAAGTGACAACATGAAACAAGGGGCCCCCAATCTGGCCCTGTGACCTGGGCAGAAACACCCTCCCAGCATCTGAAAGATGCCACCTCTGATGAGGGCAGCTTAGTATGGGATCGGGGGTATAAAGAAGGAAATGAAGCACCAGACAACAGTGGGTGCTAACAAAAGCTGTCTGGCCAGCAAGTTTTCCAAGGGGGAAGGGCAGGTAATGGCAGCTTTTGGGAGCTGGCGCTGGCGTGGGAAGGCCAGGGAGTGCCCAACATGACAGCTGCAACTTGAGATGGATCAAGCTGGCAGACAGGAGGAGTGATTCGCAGCAGATGAACTCCCCTTCTATATCCACCACCCCCTCCCTGTCCATTGTCTCTATCTGGGTGGTTCTTTGGAAAATGTCCCTGAAATGTCCCAAGGGCCATAATCTCCTAGTGGAAGTGGAGAGCTATCGAGCGTGGCAACCATCATTACTAGAGGGAAGGAGGAATAGGTTTTCTGACTCCATAGTGAGCTGCTGAGGCCTTGAAACCCAAACTGATTTTAGCGTCTGTGACACGCACAGTGAGAAATTTGGTACGTACAGTGCAGAGGGGAAAGGCGGCTTTAGTCATCTGCTGTCATTCCTTTCACTGGGTCCTTTTGTCTCATCTGGAACAAAAAAAGCAGGACAAATGGAAGGCTCCTGCTGCTGATGGAACTCCTGCCTTCTCAGTCCTGCCCATAGGTGGGGTGGGGCATATTTTGTGTAAAAAGCAAGACACTGGAAGGACGGAAGAATTCTGCATATGGACTCGAAGCCATACATTTCCAGATCTGTGTCACTGGTCTCACCATCCATGATTTCTAGTTCTCTCGTGTCACGGTGTTTGAAGCACCTTTTTTTTTTTTTTTTTTTTGGTAAAGAGGTGTGTGTGGGGGGGTCTTCCTATGTTGACCAGGCTGGTCTTGGGCTCCTGGCCTCACACGATCCTCTGCCTCAACCTCCCAAAGTGCTGGGATTACAGCATAGGTGTGAGCCACCACACTTGGCCCGTTTCATTCATTTATTCATTCAACAAATACTTATGAAACATCTTTTTTTTTTTGAGACGGAGTCTCGCTCTGCCGCCCAGGCCGGACTGCGGACTGCAGTGGCGCAATCTCGGCTCACTGCAAGCTCCGCTTCCCGGGTTCACGCCATTCTCCTGCCTCAGCCTCCCGAGTAGCTGGGACTACAGGCGCCCGCCACCGCGCCCGGCTAATTTTTTGTATTTTTAGTAGAGACGGGGTTTCACCTTGTTAGCCAGGATGGTCTCGATCTCCTGACCTCATGATCCACCCGCCTCGGCCTCCCAAAGTGCTGGGATTACAGGCGTGAGCCACCGCGCCTGGCCGAAACATCTTTTTTTGTGTGTGTGAGGAGTCTTGCTCTGTCGCCCAGGCTGGAGTGCAGTGGCGCAAAGTTGGCTTACTGCAACCTCTGCCTCCTGGATTCAAGCGATTGTCCTGCTTCAGCCTCCCAAGTAGCTGGGATTGCAGGTATGCACCATCACGCCCAGCTAATTTTTGTATTTTTAGGGGAGACGGGGTTTCACCATTTTGGCCAGGCTGATCTTGAACTCCTGACCTCAGATGATCTGCCTGCCTTGGCCTCCTGAAGTGCTTGGATTACAGGCGTGAGCCACCGCACCCAGCCTCAGTGAGGCATCTCTTTAGTGCTAGGGACTTCCAGAGGGCTGGGAATATTTAGCTGTGAACTAAACAGACCAGTTCTCTCCTCAAGGAGCTTATATTCTGGGGCAGGATGGGCAGAGAACAAACATTCATCTATGTCAGCTAGGACTGTGGGCTGCTCGGATACAGAATGACTGTGGGTAAGTGCTATTTTAGGTAGTTACAGAAGCTTGTATGTGAGGTTTGAGATGAAACCTGAGAGAAATGAGGGAGAAAATCCTGTGGCTCTCCGGGAGAGGAGTTCCCGGCAGAGTAACAGAACTTCCCTTTCCTGACCTGTTTAAAGGTGGGCACAATGTGGTGTCAGAACTAGGCACAAGGATGCAGAGGTGGAAAGTGCAGGTGCAGGTCTCAGATCCACAGATGTGCAAGGCTGCTGGAAAACAGGATGGGGGCTTCTGTGGAAGCACCAAGTGGTCCCTGTCACTGGCACCTTCCAGGCAGACATCACTGGGGATACTGTAGACGTCATCTCTCTAAAATCAGTTCTGATTTGAAAACTCCATTCTATGTGAAGAATGTCAATAAGTATTTCTTCACTATCCATTAGTTTTCTGCTCAACTTTTGTTCTTTATAATGTTCAACAAATTTTGAGCACCTAAGAGCATAGCTGCTAGAATGAAACTCCCTAGACTGTATTGTTTTGTTTGAGACAGGGTCTGGCTCTGTTGCCCAGGATGGAGTGCAGTGGCGCAATCATGGCTCACTACAGCCTCGACTCCCTGGCTCAAGTGATCCTCCTGCCTCAGCATCCCAAGAAGCTGGGACTACAGGCATGTGCCACCACGCCTGGCTTTTTTTTTTTTTTTTTTTGAGACACAGTCTCTCTCTCTGTCGCCAGGCTGGATGGCAGTGGTGTGATCTCGGCTCACTGCAATCTCTGCCTCCCGGGTTCAAGCAATTCCCCTGCCTCAGCCTCCCCAGTAGCTGGGACTATAGGCACACGCCACCATGCCTGGCTAATTTTTTTTTGTATTTTAATAGGGACGGGGTTTCACCATGTTGGTCAGGATGATCTCAATCTCCTAACCTCACGATCTGCCTGCCTCAGCCTCCCAAAGTGCTGGGATTACAGGCGTGAGCCACTGCACCCAGCCACCTGGCTGATTTTTTATTTTTTCGGTGTGTGTGGGGACAGGGTCTCATTGTATTGCCCAGGCTAGTCTCGAACCCCTGGACTTAAGTAGTCCTCCCGCCATGGCCTCCCAAAGTGCTGGGATTACAGGAATGAGCCACTGCACCTGGCCTGGATTGTATTCTGACTCCATCACTAATTGTATGACCTTGAGTAAGTTACTGCAATGCTCTCTAAGCCTCAGTTTTTTTCTTTTTTCTTTTTTTTTTTTTTTTTGAGACGGAGTCTCGCTCAGTCACCCAGGCTGGTGTGCAGTGGCACGATCTTGGCTCACTGCAAGCTCTGCCTCCTGGGTTCACGCCATTCTCCTGCCTCAGCCTCCCGAGTAGCTGAGACTATAGGTGCCCACCAACACGCCCGGCTAATTTTTTGTGTTTTTAGTAGAGACGGGGTTTCACCATGTTAGCCAGGATGGTCTCCATGTCCTGACCTCATGATCCGCCCGCCTTGGCCTCCCAAAGTGCTGGGATTACAGGCGTGAGCCATCGCACCTGGCCTTTTTTTTTTTTTTTTTTTGAGACAGGGTCTCACTGTGTCACTCAGGCTGGAGTGCAGTGGTGCGATCACCATGCAAGGCTAATTTTTGTATTTTTTGTAGAGAGAGAGTTTTGCCATGCTGCCCAGGCTGGTCTCACACTCCTGGACTCGAGCAATCCACCCACCTCAGCTTCCCAAAGTGCTTAGATTACAGGTTTGAGCCACTGGGTATGGCCTAAGCCCCAATTTCTATAATAATAAAATAGAGATAACAGTACATAGGATTGTGATGAAGATTTAAGATGTGCGGTCAGGAGTTCAAGACCAGCCTGGCCAGCATGGTGAAACCCCATCTCTACTAAAAATACAAAAAATATTATCTGGGCATTGTGGCAGGCACCTGTAATCCCAGCTACTTGGGAGGCTGAGGCAGGAGAATCGTTTGAACCCGGGAGGTGGAGCTTGCAGTGAGCTGAGATGGCACCGCTGCACTCCAGCCTGGGCGACAGAGCGAGACTCCATCTCAAAAAAGAAAAAAAAAGAGGTTTTCGTGTACTTAGCAGAGCAGAGTGCCTGACGTGGAGTATGCACTGAGTATTCGGGGCCTGTGTAGAGATGAAAATTACTGGAGACGCGGTTCCAAATGCTGTTTATGTTATAGAATACAAAATTATTATTGTTTTTGAGACAGAGTCTCGCTCTGTCACCCAGGCTGGAGTGCAGAGGCACCATCTCGACTCACTGCAACCTCTGCCTCCTGGGTTCAAGCGATTCTTCTGCCTCAGCCTCCTGAGTAGCTGGGATTACAAGTGCACACCACCACGCCTGGCTAATTTTTGTATTTTTAGTACAGACGGGGTTTCACCATGTTGGTCAGGCTGGTCTCAAACTTCTGACCTCATGATCCGCCCGCCTCAGCCTCCCAAAGTGCTGGGATTACAAACATGAGCCACCACACCCGGCCAATAAAAAATTATTTGAGACCCTGTTTCAAATGTTGTTTATTTTATTCTTTCGTTCCAGACACTGTCCTATAGCAAAGGAGATGTGTATAGAAGCTCTGAAGAACCTGGAATTTTAAGCCATAGCCCACTTCAGAATTGTATTCTAGTCACTGAAAATTTAATACTGCCACATTTTGTGGAGATTCTATCTCTGGCAGTAGTTCTCCACTGGGAAACTTTTTTTTTTTTTTTTTTTTTTTTGAGACAAGGTCTCACTCTGTCGCTCTGTCGCCCAGGCTAGAGTGCAGTGGCACGATCTTGGCTCACTGCACCCTCCACCTCCCGGGTTCAGGCGATTCTCCTGCCTCAAACTCCCGAGTAGCTGGGATTACAGGCATGTGCCACCATGCCTGGCTAATTTTCTATTTTTAGTAGAGACGAGGTTTCTCCATGTTGGCCAGGCTGGTCTTAAACTCCCAACCTCAGGTGATCCGCCTGCCTTGGCCTCCCAAAGTGCTGGGATGACAGGCGTGAGCCATCACGCATGGCCAGCTTGTCATATTTTTAAAAGACAACTCTGTGATGTTAGATTGGAATTAGATGCATTTGTGTGAACATGATATATGACGCAGATACAGAAATAACTATAAATGTACAAGTCCCCTAGCTCTATCCTATGAGAAGGTCTGGGAGCTGCAATACCCTAGTGGAAATAGGCACACCAGCAACCAGATCTCATTTCCAAACACCCCCCTCCACTATATGGAAGCAGCGCTCCTTGAAGATGTGGCCAGTTACAGGGTCATGAAAAAACAAGACAAACCCAGAACACCTTGTGCTTCAAGGCGACAGCAGTAACCTCACCAGTAACTGGACAGAAAGACACAGAATAGGATAAAAAGAACAGAGTCTGTGACATTCAGGCTTCAAGTACACACAGGTGGGGTCTAATCATGCAGAAACATCAACGAATCCACATTGAAAGACATTCTACAAAATGATCAGCCTATAACCTCCACAAACGCCAAAATCGCGGAAGTTCAGGAAAACTGAGGAGTGGCACCAGATGGACAGAAAGGAGAGCTGTGATGAATGGGGTGAAGCGCGTGATTCTGGGCTGTAGCCTTTGCTCTAAAGGAATAGTCTCTGGGCAAAGGAGTGTACAGGAGTTCTTGGCACTGTTCTTGCCTATTTTCTGTTAAGTTTAAAACTCTTTCATAATAGAATTTTTAAAAAGACAATTTGCTCACTAATGACCATTTACAAAAGTTTTCAATAATCAGATAATTTAATATCATGGGAGCAAAGCTCCTTCTCAGCCGGCTCCTTACACATGCTGAGAGTTCACCACCTGGCTTCAGTTACTAATGCAAAGCCAGGTCCTGTTTTCCCACCGCTTGAAATAAGATGCAACCTCCTACCAGGAACATGATAGCTTCCCCTACTGTCAGAAACAAGGTTCCCCATACCACTGAAATAAAATTCATTACTTCAATCTTTTTTTGTTTGTTTTTTGAGACGGAGTCTTGCTCTGTCACCCAGGCTAGAACACAGTGGCATGATGTTGGCTCACTGCAACCTCTGCCTCCCGGGTTCAAGTGATTCTCCTGTCTCAGCCTCCTAAGTAGCTGGGATTAGAGGTGCACCACATCCAGCTAATTTTTGTATTTTTAGTAGATGGGGTTTCACCATCTTGGCCAGGCTGGTCTCGAACTCCTGACCTCAGATGATCCACCTGCCTCAGCCTCCCAAAGTGCTGGGATTACAGGTGTGAGCCATCGCACCCAGCCCATTACTTCAGTCTTACAATGATCTAAGAATGCTTATTTCCTGTTTCCTGGGGCCTACACGACATGAGAGATTTATCTGATGTTTGTGGTGTTCCTCAGATTTAGCCAATGTAGGCTATACATACACATATAATATGGCTGAAGAAAATGTGTATGTGAAAATAGGAAAATAGAAACTTCAATCCTGGTTGGTTGGTTTGTTTTGAGATAGAGTTTCGCTCTGTTGCCCAGGCTGGAGTACAATGGTGCGATCTCAGCTCACCGCAATCTCTGCCTCCTGGGTTCAAGTGATTCTCCTGCCTCAGCCTCCCGAGTAGCTGGGATTGCAGGCGTGCACCACCACGCCTGGCTAATTTCTTGTATTTTTAGTAGATGGGGTTTCTCCATGTTACTCAGGCTGTCTCAAACTCCCAAGCTCAGGTGATCCACCCGCCTCGGCCTCCCAAAGTGCTGGGATTACAGGTGTGAGCCACCGTGCCCAGCCCTGGTTTGTTTTTGTTTTTAACAGTGGTTTCCTTTAGGGAATGAGGCCAGGGGCTGAAACAAGAAGACTTTTATTTATGTATTCACCTATTAGTTATTTGGACTTCTATTTTTAAATTTTTTTTCTATCTTTTGAAAATCATTTTGACCATTAAGTATGAAATACACCTTTGATCTAAAAAAATAGTAAAGTGTCAATGTTAATATCCGAGTTATTACATTGTACTATAGTTTTGCAAGATGTTACCATTGGCAAAAACTGGGTAAAGGGTACATAGATCTTTCCACGTTATTTTTTATAACTGCAAGTGAATCTTTCAATCATTTCAAAATAAAAGGTTCGGTGCAGAAATGAAGCTGGCTGGGTGTGTTGGCCCACGCCTACAATCCCAACACTTCGGGAGGCTGAGGTGGAAGGATCACTTGTGGCTGGGAGTTTGAGACCAGCCTGGACAACATAGCAAGATCCTGTCTCTACAAAAATTAAAAAAATTTTAAAAATTAGGTAGGCGTGGTGGCCTGCACCTGTAGTCCCAGCTACTTGGGAGGCTGAGGTGGGTGGATCAGTTGAATCCAAGCGTTTCAGGCTGCCATACTCCAGCCTAGGCAACAGTGTGAGACCCTGTCTTGTTCTGTCGCCAAGGCTGGACAGTGCAGCAGCATGATCTCGGCTCACTACCATTTCTGCCTCCTGGATTCAAGCGATTCTCCTGTCTCAGCCTCCCAAGTAGCTGGGATTACAGGCACACACCACCACACCTGGCTGATTTTTGTATTTTTAGTAGAGACGGGGTTTCTCCATGTTGGCCAGGCTGGTCTGGAACTTCTGACCTCAGGTGATCAGCCCAACTTTAGCCTCCCAAAGTGCTAGGATTACAGGCTTTTGAGCCACCGTGCCTTAAACTGTATTTAAAAAGAAAACAGGGCCAGGTATAGTGGCTCATGATGGTAATCCCAGCACTTTGGGAAACCAAGGTGGGAGGATCACTTGAGACCAGTAATTCAAGACCAGCCTGAGCAACATATTGAGATCTTGTCTCTAAAAAAATTAGTCAGGTGTAGTGGTGGGACCTGAAGTCCTAGCTACTTAGGAGCTTAACGTGGGAGGATCACTTGAGCCCAGAAGTTGAAGGCTGCAGTGAGCTATGATCACAGCACTGCACTCTAGCCTAGGCCACAGAGCGAGACTGTCTCTCTTAAAAAAAAAAAAAAGAAAAGAAAACAAAGCTACTTCCATAATTGGGGATGTTGGCTGATGTTCCAGATGGTCTGCAATCACTGCCAGCAGGTTGGAGGGAATTAAGACTCCCTGAGTGGCTGGGCATGGTGGCTCACACCTGTAATCCCAACACTTTGGGAGGCCGAGGCAGGCGGATCACCTGAGGTCAGGAGTTCAAGACCATCCTGGCCAACATGGTGAAACCCCATCTCTACTAAAAATACAAAAATTAGCTGGGCGTGGTGGCGCACACCTGTAATCCCAGCTACTTGGGAGGCTGAGGCAGGAGAATGGTGTGAACCCGGGAGGCAGAGGTTGCAGTGAGCCGAGATTGCGCCACTGCAGTCCAGCCTGGGCGACAGAGCAAGACTCCATCTCAAAAAAAAAAAAAAAAAAAGAGAGAGAGAGACTCCATGAGGGCAGTGTCATCCTTCACATATAGGGATCCTGCAGCCTCTGCAGCTCCTATGAAAGTTTTAGAGGCTGGGCATGGTGGCTCATGCCTGTAATCCCAGCACTTTGGGAGGCCGAGGCAGGTGCATTGCCTGAGCTCAGGAGTTCGAGACTAGTCTGGCCAACATGGTGAAACCCCCTCTCTATTAAAAATAGAAAATTAGTGGCGTGTAGTGGCGGGCGCCTCTAGTCCCAGCTACTTGGGAGGCTGAGGCAGGAGAATTGCTAGAACCTGGGAGGTGGAGGTTGCTGTGAGCTGACATTGTGCCAGTGCACTCCAGCCTGGCGCCACTCCACTCCAGCCTGGGTGACACAGCAAGGTTCTGTCTCAAAAAAAATAAAATAAAATTTTAGATTCTTGGCTGGGCACAGTGGCTCACAACTGTAATCCTAGCACCTTGGGAGGCTGAGGCGGGTGGGTCACCTGAGCTCAGGAGTTCCAGACCAGCCCGGGCAACATGGGGAAACCCTGTCTCTACTAAAAATACAAAAATTAGCCAGGCGTGGTGGCGGGCACCTGTAGTCCCAGCTACTCAGGAGGCTGTGACATGAGAATTGCTTGAATTGGGGAGTTGGAGGTTGCAATGAGCCAAGATTGCACCACTGTACTCCAGCCTGGGTGACAGAGCGAGACTCTGTTTCAAAAGAAAAAAAAAAAAAGAAAACAAGTTTTCTTAACATTTTTTAAGTGAATTCTCTTTTCTGAATCTCATTATCTAAAGAGTTAATGGCCAAAGGCCAAGAGGTACTTGTTCAGTGAATTATAAAACGTCCTCAACTTCTGTGAGCCACAGTTTATCTATAAAATGAAACTAATACCTGTGTTACAGGTTGCCATGAAAACTGGGTGATGTAATACATGTGAAACTCTTAGCATACGTGATAGGCACACAGGAAGTCCTCAATAAATGTTAGCTTCTATTAATAATACAAATATTTTTATTACTACCATATTTGGGAGACAGTGAGTTCCCCATTACAGGCAGTAATCAAGCAAAGGCTGGTAGGGAAGCTTCAGAGAGTACTCAAGCACTGAACATATAATTGGACCAAATGACCTTTAAGATACCTCCTTCCATTTTTCAGATTATGGGCCTCTTAAGAGAGTAAGAGCTTGGGAAAGGGAGAAAAAAGGCAAGTTGGGGAGAAAGAGAGAGACAGAAACTGCTTTCCTACAGGCACATAGTTCCAGAAATTTTTTCTTTTTAGGGCGAAGAACTAATCTCTCGATGCCTTGCTTCCCAAATCTTCAAGCCTCATTCAAGAATGGTGGGTCCGCCCGGACAGGGACTAGAGTTACAGCAGTGATGACTGTGGCCTTGCAGTGACCCTTCATCACTCACAAACAAAATCTGCCTGCACTAGACGACTATGTACTGGCTTAGAGACTAACAGTCATAATTCCTATTCCAAGTGTGCAGTTCATCACGGTGCATGGAAGACAGGCATCTATCTCTATTCCTCCCCCAAACCCTATGACATGACAGTAAAGGAATTTAAAAAGATAAAAACTATGAAGACAACAGGAACAGAGGACACCACAGCAGGTAAGAGCCAGTTAACAACCTTTTGGGAGATGGAAAAAGGACAGAAGAGTCAGTAGCTAATTTGCAGAGCAGCAAAAGCTGAACCTAAGTGCCTGGAGGATGGAGAGCGGAGAAGGAGCTGCAGGTTCTGCAAAGGCTCAGGAACTGGAAGCACCAGGTCCCGCTGCAGATGGGAGTACCAGGTGTGGCTCAAAACTGGTGACTTTTTGAAAGTCCAAATGGAGAACGGTTAGGAACTGGTGTTCCCTTCTCCTGCTCTGGAAGTCAAGCAACCACCCTCCTTTCCTTCACAGCAAAAGCCAGGAGGTTCACTCTCTGAAGCGCTGAGGGAACCCTGACCTCAGGACCCCAGGTGCTGCTAGGGGGAAGGTGGGCAAGAGGCAGAATACGACGGAATTAAAGTTAAAGCGAATCAATGGCACAATGAGCCCACTGGGACCCTTCCTCAGTGTGGCCTCCAGAATGCTGGCTGCCTGCCTGTCTCCCACAGCAAGAGACAGGGGAGTCCTCTATAGGGAAAGTGACAAGCCTCCGTGAAAAAAAGACTCGAAGTCCTGAGGTAGAGGTTCCCGCCCCCGAATGTAACTACCGAGTACCCTGAGGTAGAGGTTCCCCCCACTGTAACTACCGAGTACAAGCGGGCGCCTGTAGTCCCAGCTACTGGGGAGGCTGAGGCAGGAGAATGGCGTGAACCAGGGAGGTGGAGCTTGCAGTGAGCCGAGATCGTGCCACTGCACTCCAGCTTGGGCAACAGAGTGAGAGCCTGTCTCAGAAAAAAAATAAATAAATAAGAAAAATTAAAAGGATTTTGAGCCTGGGAGTTTGAGGCTGCAGTGAGCTATGATCATGCCACTGCACGACGCCAAGCACTCCAGCTTGGGTGACAGAACACAACCTCACCTCTTAAAAAAAAAAAAGAACTACTAAGAGCATCAGCATAGATTATTTGAAAGTATGGAAGTAATTAACAAAAGCAACAACCATCGGAATTACAAGGGGCTGCTTCTGAGGGGTGGGACTCATAATCCTGGGATGCTGAGTTTTAAAACTACAAAATATAACTTTGATGAAACATATATTTTTAGATAGACAAAAAAATAAAAAGGCAAGCCACATCAAGCGTAGTCAGCACACAAAGGTCCTGCACAGTTGCTGAAGAGACCACAACATGTACCACAATGAGGTGGACTTGCTTTCTCTCCCACTGCAGATGAGTTTTAAAATTCTAATTCCAAAGAGAGTTTCTTCTATTTGCAGTTATCCTGGAGGACAGTGATCACCTAAGCTTTTGGCATGATTCTCCATGGAATGGAGAAAGATTTTCTTTTCTTTTTCTTTTTTTCCTTGAGACGGAGTCTTGCTCTGTCGCCCAGGCTGGAGTGCAATGGCATGATCTCTGCTCACTGCAACCTCTGCCTCCTGGGTTCAAGCGATTCTCCTGCCTCAGCCTCCTGAGCAGCTGGGATTACAGGTGTCCGCCACCACGCCTGGCTAATTTTTTTTATTTTTAGTAGAGACAGGGTTTCACCATGTTGGCCAAGTTGGTCTCAGACTCCTGACCTCGTGATCTGCCCACCTTAGCCTCCCAAAGTGCTGGGATTACAGGTGTGAGCCACCGTGCCTGGCCGAGAAAGATTTTCAAAAGGGTCTGAGAGATTAAAAAATAACTCTCTAACACTGAGGGCTCTCAAAGTTTGGATCTGAACAAAGCAGATCCAGTAGATCCTCTGGAGAGTTCTTCTAGCTCCAAGAATTTGAGTTCTACCCGAAGGAATGAAAGGTGGACAGCAAATACTTCCACGAACCCCAACATACGTCATGCTGGCCTTTGTCAGGCAGTGGATGGCTGAAGCTCCAGGCTAAAACTCCAATGAAAGTCTCCATGTTTCCTCATTTGTTAACATTTTCCCTTTCTTTTTGTCAGGACTAGGGTGACCAAAAGCCTCAGGCTTCTCTTACACAGTCACAATCACCAGACCCCTGGACACTGAGGTCTACCCCTTCCTAAAGATCCTTAGCGAAAGAATCAGGGACTGTGCCCCAATGAAATCCTGCCACTTCCCTGCTAAATGTAGCTAAATGAATAACCAAAACATCTGTCTTCAAGAGGAACCAACTCAGTGCACCACTTACCAGTGAGTCAGCCCAGGAAAAGTGTCATTCTGGATGGTAAAAACAGTTCCCTGCGGGGTTCCAGAGGAAGAACTTCTGGACCCAATTTTCGCCCTAGACCAGCATGGTGAAGCAGACACCGTCCGTGCAGCATGGGCAGCATGGGCGCCCAAGCCTGGCTCTCACCTGAGGCCCTGCAGGAGAGCTGAGTGGGCTGTTGCAAAGCAATGCCTCTACTGGATACCCAAACTCCATGCCAACCCCACCTGGGGCAAGGAGGGAGAAGTGATGGCAGTTCTTATGAAACAGAGCTTCCTGCCTTATCATATTTTTAGCTCCAAGATGGCAGGAGGGCCCAAAATTGCATTTAGAGGGAGGAGTACAGGGGAGTGATTAAGAGCTGTGGTTCCAGGGCCAGAGAGTCCTGGGCTCTTACTCTGACCATATCACCTGCAAGACGGTGTGACCCAGAGCACCGCAGCATTGAGCTCTCAGAGCCTCCACTTCCTCATCTGAGGGTAGGGAGAGCAGCAGCGCCTCCTCATGGGGTATCGTGAAGACTGCAGTAGGTAAAGGCCCTCAGAATGGTAGACGGCACACAGTGAGTGCTTGAATGTTACTAACTGACAATCTCCTCTGAGTGGGCCTCTCAAGGAAGCATCAGCATCTCCAAATGAGGCATGAGAAGTGCTGGGTCTTTAGGCTCCTAAGGAACAGGGAACCCTCCTTCTGCGATCCACGCCAAGACCAAAAAAAGAAAAGCAAAAGCTCTCAACTCTGATAGCTCAAAATGACCGTAGACAGCCGCCAGCTGTCAGCTCCTGCGTGCGCTGTGGCTGTCCTCTGTGGGTAATGTGCATGGTATTCACAGGTCAGCCCAGCCTGCCTCCTCCCAGGGTCACCTCCAGCTCTGCAGCCCCGCACGCTCTTTCCCACCAGGCTCTGAAGCATCGCTGTAGCAGCTGTATTACCCACTTGGCATTCGGCACATACTGCCATTTTTGTCTCTGTGGGTATGCCAAGACTTCAACTCAACTGTCAATTCAAGAGCACAGGCTGTTTTCTTCCGTATAGTGCCCACGTACTGCCCAGGATACCGTCCCTGTAGCAGACACTGACGTGTTCCCAGAACTACAGGATGGTGCTCTCGGTGAAGCGCCCCAGCAAAACAGTCTCCTTAATCTTCGTTTGTTTATCTAATTGAGAGCCCCCAGAGCCCCCACTTACTTCATCCAGCTGTCTCTTCGTCTCTTCTTCCATCCTTCGAATGTCGTCCATGGTCAGGTCAACCCACTTATCGAGCCAACAGAACAGCTGCCTGTGGAAGTTTGTAAACAGACGCCTCTCTTGCTATAGAAAGGAGGGAACCACGTTAGAACGCAGAAGGCAAAGGCTGCTGCCACAGCCCTTCTCTCCATGCACTCCACACGAATACCCACACTAGACTGGGGACGGGCGGACAGGAGGAGGAGTAATGCCCGGCTGGTTATCTGGACCAGCCATGGGTCAATGACCTTTGCCTTCACGTGTCTAACAGGTATGGCTTCACATAGGAGGGAGCCCCCAAGAAAGAAGGATGCCTACCTCACACTAGGCCCTCTGCCCAAAGCACCAGCAAGACAGCAGCCCATGAACTCCTAGGCAAGCCAAGGGCCCCAAACCACTGCCACATTTCTTCCTGTCTCTGGTGTCTAATGCCAGATTAAAACTGGCCAGCAGCTATGAAATATGGCCCAAGTGAGGCTCAAACATGTCGGAGGATTAAAAGGCTCTAAAACTCCTTAGACCTGCCCAGCAGAGTAATTCAGGGCACCGGCCAACCTGGCTCCCAGCACCTCTTGCCTTTCAGCTGCAAGAAAAGAAAGACTGAGTTTTATCTGTAGGTCAGTCATAGCAAGTCCCTTCCTGTGGCCTTCTTTTGCCTCAGTTTCCTTCCCTGTCACATGTGGTGTCCCTGGAAGGACAGCATTAAACCGTAAGACATTTCAGTGCAAGGGAAGGTGGGCAGCTGGGAAGCCGCCAAACTGTGAGGTATGCTCATGTTGGCAACCCTGTCATGCAGGCCACATGGGCTGGGCCATCTTCTTCACTGGGCCAAACACCCCCCACCGCACACACACGCAGTCACTGGGAAGGCCTCAGCCGAGCTACTTACCTTATGGATGAAGTTCTCCACCACCCCCCACCGCACACACACGCAGTCACTGGGAAGGCCTCAGCCGAGCTACTCACCTTATGGATGAAGTTCTCCACCACCCCCCCACAACACACACACGCAGTCACTGGGAAGGCCTCAGCCGAGCTACTTACCTTATGGATGAAGTTCTCCACTTTGTTCTGCAGGCCCCACCACTTGAACTTGACGGTCACCAGTTTGTATGCACACATATATGGGCAGTCCTTCTGGTTTACAAGCTCTTGCTGCATTAGAAACATACCCATGGGTACGCAAGTAACAACGGGCAGACCTCAGGCCGTCCCCAGCTCACCCCAGCCATGCCCCTCCTCCACAGGGAGCGGCCCACCCACATGCTGCCCAGCCCCCTGGCAGTGAAGGTGTGAATGGTACCTTCCAATTGGGGCCCAAGGGTCCTCGGCCTGTTTTGATAGATTTAAATTTTGCTGGGTCTTCCTCTGCCTTGTAATCCTGAGAGAAATTGTGGAATTGGGGTTGGAGGGGAGTGGGAGAGGGAGTGAGAGATGGGGAGAACAGATCTTTCATTAGCATTCACTCCATACCAGATCTTGATGCTGATGGCACAAAGCAAATATGGGAAAATGTTATAAACAAGATGTAGAACTGTTTACATTAGCCTCAGAGGAGAGTTCTATGTGATTTTCTCCGATAGGGTTTGTTTTCCATTTTGCCAGTGTGAAAGTATCACCAGACTGTCTGAGCAGGCACATATTTACCGTGTTGAAGACAGAGACTTTCAACCTGGGGTGAGCATCCAGATCACCAGGGAAGACCTTTTTAAAACACAGATTTTTGAGTCACTCCAACTAAAACCCAGTGACTGAGAATATCTGCAGGTGACGGCAGCACAGATTTGTTTTTTGTTTTTTTAAATCTCTGCAAGTGACTCTAAAATACAGCCAGCGCTCAGAATACCCGGCTGTCATTCCTTAAATCTTCCAGTGCAATCTCCCTCTGGCTTGTTTTAACAAAATCATTACTGGAAATGTTCAGTGTATGGAACCTATCCACTACTGGTGAGTCTCACTTCACAGATTTATAATGCAGTCAATTTCCTGTGTTAATTAACCACAACAAAAGTTTAATTTTCAGCTGTCCCTCTACATTGACTAATGTGGGCTCAGGAGATACAAACTTATAGCATCTACTTAACAAAAATAACAAAGATAATAAATTTCTCTCTCTCATAAAGTATTTCCCAAAGCTGAGAAGTTTTTTTTTTTTTTCTTTTTTTTTTGAGAGGGAGTCTCGCTCTGTTGGCCAGGCTGGAGTGCAGTAGCGCGATCTCGGCTCACTGCAAGCTCCATCTCCCAAGTTCACGCCATTCTCCTGCCTCAGCCTCCCCAGCAACTGGGACGACAGGTGCCCGCCACCATGCCCGGCTAATTTTTTTTGTATTTTTAGTAGAGACGGGGTTTCACCGTGTTAGCCAGGATGGTCTCGATCTCCTGACCTCGTGATCCGCCCACCTTGGCCTCCCACAGTGCTGGGATTACAGGCGTGAGCCACCGCGCCCTGCCTTATTTTTTTATTTTATTTTTTTGAGACAGCATCTCACTCTGTTGGCCAGGCTGGAGTGCAGTGGCACGATCTCAGCTCACTGCAACTTCCACCTCCTGGGTTCAAGCGATTCTCCTGCCTCAGCCTCCTGAGTAGCTGGCATTACAGGCGCCTGCGACCACGCCAGGGTAATTTTTGTATTTTTGTAGAGACGGGGTTTCACCATGTTGGCCAGGCTGGTCTCAAGCTCCTGACCTCAGGTGATCCACATGCCTCAGCCTCCCAAAGTGCTGGGATTACAGGCATGAGTCACTATGTCCGGCCGATTTTTTTTTTTTTTTTTTTTTTCAGATAGAGTTTCGCTCTGTCGCCCAGGATGAAGTGCAGTGGCACAATCTCAGCTCAATGGAACCTCCGCCTCCTGAGTTCCAGTGATCCTCCTGCCTCAGCCTCCCAAGTAGCTGGAATTATAGGCATGCGCCACCACGCCCAGCTAATTTTGTATTTTTTTTTTTTGACACAGTTTCACTCTTTTTGCCCAGGCTGGTGCAAAGGCATGATCTCGGCTCACTGCAACCTCCGCCTCCTGGGTTCAAGCGATTCTCCTGCCTCAGTCTCCTAAGTAGCTGGGATTACAGGCACCTGCCACCACGCCTGGCTAATCTGTTGTATTTTTAGTAGAGACAGGGTTTCACCATGTTGGCCAGGATGGTCTCGATCTCTTGACCTCGTGATCTGCCCACCTTGGCGTCCCAAAGTGCCGGGATTACAGGTGTGAGCCACCGCACCTGGCCCTAATTTTGTATTTTTAGTAGAGACGGGGTTTCACCATGTTGGCCAAGCTGGTCTCAAACTCCTGACCTCAAGTGATATGCCTGCCTCGGTCTCCCAAAGTGCTGGGATTACAGGCGTGAGCCAATGTGCCCAGCCTCTGAGGAGATTATATTTATGTGTGCTTTAAAAAATAAATATTCACCATCACTGCTTCCCTCCACTCACACAGATCAACCAGAGTTGACAAAATACTCAAAGAATCATACTTTTTGCTAGTATCCAGTTTGAGAAAATTCATCAAGCTGCATACTTATATTCACTTTGCTGTATATGTTAAACTTCCATAAAAAGCTTTTTGAAAAATCCACCAACGTTTTGAAGGTGGGGGTTGGGATATTGGGCAAGGAAGCACAAGATGGTTTTTATATCTTTTCGGAAATGCACAAATCAAAATAACTTTGTGTGTGTGTGTGTGTGAGATGGAGTCTCGCTGTGTCGCCCAGGCTGGAGTGCGATGGTGTGATCTCTGCTCACTGCAACCTCTGCCTCCCGGGTTCAAGCGATTCTCTTGCCTCAGCCTCCCAAGTAGCTGGGATTACAGGCACGTACCACCAGGCCTGGCTAATTTTTGTATTTTTAGTAGAGATGGGGTTTCACCATGTTGGGCAGGATGGTCTCGAACTCAGGACCTCAGATGATCGGTCACCTTGGCCTCCCAAAGTGTTGGAACTACAGGCGTGAGCCACCGTGCCAGGCCCCAAAATATCTTAAGTGCAGAGTGACCACAGGAAAGAGGTATCACACCCCTGGGATACAAAGAGCAAACACACATTCCCTATCAGTGGGCAGAGAGTTACATTCCTGTCTTTTAATCCCAATGAGGCCTCTGCCTAGTAAGAATGGTAATGAATGAGGAGGAATCTAACCCCCTCATTCCCTGAGCAAATACTTCTTGGGTGCAAAACAGTGAGCAAGCCAGACCTGGTCCCTCTTTTGACCAAGGTCATGGTCCACCAGTGGACTGTCCTTTTCCAGGGGTCTGCTCCAGTGTGTGTTACTCTGAAAAGGCGCCACCGACTTCTGGAGGGCAGGGGACCTGTCTTTCCCTGCATTCTGCATCCCTCACCTGGAACCCAGAGATCCTGACAATATTCCACAACCCAGTAGGCAGGAAGTAAATGTTTTTTTAATTACTGAGTTGGAAAAATAAATTTGAGAAGTGGTGCTCCGATTTTTCAGGCTAAGCATCATTTTAGCAGGGCAAAATACTCTAGCTACAATACCTACTTAGTCCAGTAATAATTTTCAGAGGCCAAACAGGGCACACAAATTTGGGCCACTAATTTTCTGGTGGCATCCCCAACTCAAGACAAGAAATCTCCTAATACTCACTTTTAAAAATAAAACAAGCAAGACACATCAGAATTTCCTTTTGTGCCAAGTTGGGTATGGTTTCCTGGTTTCTTTAGCATTGAGAAGTCATTTCTGCGTCTCGAAGGCCACCCACGTCTTTAAACGGATCCTACCTTGCTGAGCACTTGGCTTCGATCTGCAATGTCTATATATACGGCTTCCACGTGTTTCCACGCCTCAGGCTCCAGCTTATGCACCTGTGGGAACAAGTGGGGAACCACTATGCAGTTTTTGTCAGTTATAAAATATCCTTTAGCCAGAATGGACACCTAGGAACTGCCATTCCCATAGCCACAGATGTAAGATTCCTAATGATAAGTAATTATACAATTACATACAAAATTATCCAAAGAAATGGGAGAATGGATTTTTTTTTTTAAGAGATGGGGTCTCACCGTGTTTCTCAGGCAATGGCTATCCACAGGAGTGATCACAGCACACTCTAGCATGAACTCCTGGGCCGGAGTGATCCTCCTGCCTCAGGCTCCTAGTGATCCTCCTGCCTCAGCCTCCTGCCTGGGACCGAGGGATCCTACTGTCTCAGCCTCCTGCCTAGGCCCGAGTGATCCTCCTGTCTCAGTCTCCTGAGGAGCTGGGCCCGAGTGATCCTCCTGTCACAGCCTCCTGAGGAGCTGGGCCCGAGTGATCCTCCTGTCACAGCCTCCTGAGGAGCTGGGCCCTAGTGATCCTCCTGTCACAGCCTCCTGAGGAGCTGGGCCTGAGTGATCCTCCTCTCTCAGTCTCCTGCCTGGGCCTGAGTGATCCTCCTGTTACAGCCTCCTGAAGAGCTGGGCCCGAGTGATCCTCCCGTCTCAGCCTCCTGAGGAGCTGGGCCCGAGCAATCCTCCTGTCACAGCCTCCTGAGGAGCTGGGCCCGAGTGATCCTCCTGTCTCAGCCTCCTGAGGAGCTGGGCCTGAGTGATCCTCCTGTCTCAGCCTCCTGAGGAGCTGGGACTATAGGTGCACAACACTGAACCCAGCTGGATTGTCTGTTTGTCTGAGATGGAGTCTTGCTGCGACGCCCAGGCTGGAGTGCAATGGCGCGATCTCGGCTCACTGCAAACTCTGCCTCCCGGGTTCAAGCGATTATCCTACCTCAGCTTCCCGAGTATCTGGGATTACAGGCGTGGGCTACCACGCCCAGCTAATTTTTGTATTTTTAGTAGAAACAGGGTTTCACCATGTTGGCCAGGCTGATCTCAAACTACTGACTTCAAGTGTTCCACCCGCCTTGGCCTCCCGCCCAGCCCCCGCTGGATTTTAAGTGACATGACTGAGAACGAATGCTCTGACTATTGAGGGTAAACGTCACTTCTGCAGGTCAAAACGCCTTCCGGATGTTTACGGTGCCCACACCATTTCCATGTGTTCCCGGCTGTACAGACTGTAAACCCTTCTAGAGATGGTGTCTGTTTAGCAACATGCTGACCCGCTGTAAAGACTGTAAACCCTTCTAGAGATGGCGTCTGTTTAGCAACATGCTGATTATTTTGATCAGGCTGTACATGCACATAATACAAAATTATGACACAAATTCAAAATTACAAAAGGATACAATATAGAGTAACTAGAGTAACTCCTCTTCTTGCTTGTCCCTCGTCCCCAGTCTAGTAACAGCCACCTCTAAGAGATCCTACATACAAACATCCATGTGCGTGGATTTTTCTTTTAATATGAAGGGCGGCATGCACACACCTTGTTTCATAACTTCCATCCTTCACTGAACAGTCAACTTGAAGACTGCTCTCTATTGGTTTTTCCATGGCTGCAAGGATGTCACTATTTGGCTGAACCACAATGCATTTAACGTTGTCCTACTAACGGGCCTTTTTTTTCTCTTTTTTTTTTTTTAAGACAGTGTCTCGCTCTGTCACCCAAGTTGGAGTACAGTGGCGTGATCTCGGCTCACTGCAAGCTTCGACTCCCGGGTTCACGCCATTCTCCTGCCTCAGCCTCCTGAGTAGCTGGGACTACAGGTGCCCGCCATGAAGCCTGGCTGTTTTGTATTTTTAGTAGGGACAGGGTTTCACCGTGTTAGCCAGGATGGTCTCGATCTCCTGACCTCGTGATCCGCCTGCCTCGGCCTCCCAAAGTGCTGGGATTACAGGCGTGAGCCACCGCACCCGGTCTAACGGGCTCTTATGTTGTTTTTTTGTTTTTGGAGACAGGGTGTCACTCTGTTGCCCAGGCTGGAGTGTGGTGGTGCAGTCACAGCTCACTGCAGCCTTGACTTCCCAGCCTCAAATGATCCTCCAGCCTCGGCCTCCAGAGTGGCTGGGACCACAGGCACATACCACCATGCCCAGCTAATTCTTTTTTTATTTTTGGTAGAGACAGAGTCTTGTTATGTTGCCCAGGATGGTCTTACATTGTTTTTGATCTTTGGCTACACAAAGAAGACTGCAATGAGTCTCCTTGTATATATGTTATTTCACACATGTGAAAATAACTGTCTAAATTCTTGGGCATGGAAATGCTAAAGGATAGGTGTATTTTATTTTTTGGGAGTTACTGCAAATTGTGCTCTATAGAAAACTGTAATTTTGGTCTTTTAAAGATATAGCTCCCATGTACCAGGAACTGCACCAATCCAAGCAGTACGAGAAGGCCCCATAAAAAGTTCCGGAGATCACATTTTGCAAATCAGAGACATAGCAATCCCATGCTGGTAAGATAGGTCTAGGCAGAGGCCACTGCCTTCCCGGCCAGGCAAAAGAGGACCACAGAGAGGACCCCATGGTAGCCCTGGAGAGGCTACAAGGCAGAGACTCAAGACCTCACCCCTGGGGCTTTTGGGAACTACTACTCACATTCTCCTGCGTGCCAAGATCTGGTTTGTGCCAGGTTTCAATTTTAATCAGAAAGTCTTCTTTCATGTACTCATTCTGGAAGAAGGAAAAAAAATACATGAAAGTCACTAGGTTCACAGTTGAGAGTAACCATCTCCCATTACTGGAGATGGGCATTACTGGATCATGGGCAGCTAGGAGATTCCAGCCTCTGCCTTGTAATAACAGTTAACTTGACTGGGAGCCCACGACACACTAGGCATGTATTATCCCATTCAATCCTCACCCCAGCCTGAGAGCTCTGTAGAATCACCCTCATTTTACAGATGAGGTTCAAAGAGGTTAGGTGACTTAACCAAAGTCACAGAGATCGGGCCAGGCATGGTGGCTCACGCCTGTCATCTCAGCACTTTGGGAGGCCGAGGCGGGCGGATCACTTGAGGTCACAAGATCGAGACCAGTCTGGCCAACAGTGGTGAAACCCGTCTCTACTAAAAATACAAAAATTATCCAGGCATGGTGGCGGGTGCCTGTAATCCCAGCTACTCGGGAGGCTGAGGCAGGAGAATCGCCTGAACCCAGGAGGCAGAAGCTGCAGGGAGCCGAGATTGCACCACTGCACTCCAGTCTAGGAAACAACAGCAAGACTCCGTTTCGAAAAAAAAAAAAAAGTCACAGAGATCACGACAGAGTTGGGTCTCAAAACAGTTTCGTCTGACTTCAGAATCCATGCATTTAGCCACTCTGGGTAGTAAGCAGTGTGGAAAGAGCACAGAAGACTTCCTAACCCATCGAAGATACTCACCATGGCCCCTTTCCCTCCAACTAGCCTGTGGCTAAGGCCTTAAGTTTTCTTCTCAGTAACTGAACCCTTCAAGCTAATTATTGCCTCCCTCCCTCCCTTCCTGCTTCTTAAAAATTGGAACTTCTCAAAGGAGGAACACATTCACCCATTAACGCCTCAGCAGGAACCAGTTTCCCAGAGACAGCCAGTGTTTACCGGCAGGGACAAGGCACTCAGATGAGTGTGCTGAATGGTGGGCGGGTGGGCAATGACAGAGGGGACGGCTGTGGAAGAGAAACCCCGCTGACTTCACGACTTTGCCAAGGATCAGTGCTCAGTGGACTCAACAGATGCACAGATGGGGAAGGGATGTCGGTCAGGTCAGTTGAATGGAGCTCTCTCTACAACCTTGAAAAGGTGTGACCTGGGGAGGCAGGGCCTCGAGCCACTGTGTCCATGTCAGACCCACAGCCAGGATGCACTTAATGGAGCCGCAGGCCAATGCAGCTTAAAGCAGGAGGTCATCATGCCAGTTAACAGGTTCCTTGTTAGTCCACTGACAGGACTGAGCCTCAGCAACTCCAAACATCAGCCAAGGGAAAGAACACCCAAGACCACCAGTGCAGTTACATTTTTCTCTCTCCTGTTCTTATACATCATCTACAGTTCCAACCCCCTTGACAATACTTACTGTAATAACTGCTCCGAGGCAAGGACATGGAAAGAAGAGAGAAAAAGATTAATGAAGATGAAGAAATATCTGCCCCCCACCCCCCACAAGGAGGACGAATGGCAGAGTGTACTTTACTCCCTGTGGCTTATTCCACGGTCACCTCCAAGCCCCAGTGAGTCAGAAATACCTTAACGCACCAACCCTCAAATTTCACTCAGACAAACATCCCAAAAAACCAAACAGGGAATTTAATTAAAGCGACGCCGCTATGGGCTTCTTGGGATTCTTTTCAGCAGGGCACTGACAGGGACCAGCTCTGATCAGCAGAGGTGCCGCAACTCATCACTCTGGCATCAGAGCGTTCTCCGGCGCCTCCCACCCCTACCCCAGCCTCTACCTCCCGGGGCACAGAGCAGGGTGCTTTGGCCATGCACTGTATCTGCCTCCTGCACCCTTCCTCTCGCTGTAATCAAACCTCCCAGGCTCTGCACTCCTGCTCATTGTAATGGGAACCCCTTAGAAAGCATGGTTCAATTATTTATCAGAGAAAATGACTGCACCTCTCATGTCACTGGGGAACAGACTAGCTCTGCTCCTGAGACCGCCCGGTTCATTCTGTACCCTCTGAATTTAGGACCTATGTCCACTTCTGCTGGCTGCCCCACTGCCATGTTTGTAGAGTGTGTGGGGTAACAAACTCCAGAACTGAAGTTAAGGTGACCCCGGAGCACAAAATGAGGCAAAGTTGAAATATAAAGAGTAAGAGCTATCACGCACAGAAATAACCCAAAAGACTGTCAGTAATTCCCCCATACCCAACGAAAGACACTTAGAAGGAAGCACCAGATTAAGATTACAACTGAAAGGCCTACACTGAAGTAACTGCCCTGTTAGCAGCTTCAAGAAAACCACGTTAGAATAAGAAAAGGAAATCATGGGTATAGTATCTCGTCAGCAGAAATTCTCCTGTGCCGTGGTGGGCCCCGGAGGCCCAGCCCCCGCATGTGGCATCTCTGGCAGCGCCATCCCTGGAGTGGGGGCAGCAGTGCCAGGATGGCCTGGTCTGATGACACCAGCCACTAAACTTCTCCAACTAAGCACCTTTTTTGAATCTATCTCCTCTAAGAAAGTCTCTCCTAGTTCGGCCTCTCCGAGACGTGCTCATCAATGGACCCAAGAATCTGATCACTCAGCCAAGCGGACATTCTTTGCCACACATTGGCATTCTGATTATAATTTGGTTTCTCATGTAGAAGAATCCACAAGAAAAGAATGCCCTGATCATCGAATGGGAATGTCCCGTTTCGGTAGCAATTCTGCGTTTTAGTGTAACTTCATAGACTGGCGCTGGGGTTTTTACACATTCATCTTTGTGAGACCCCGAGAGACAGATCCACTCAGTTCTGACAACCTGGTTTTCCGAAATCATGAGGGTGACAGCCCTTGCTGACCTTTTCATGCAAACTTGGGTGATCAAACAATCCTCCCCAAACCTTCTCCAGCCCTCCCAGGCCCTCAAACACCTCTGCATTCCAGTATTCCCTGTTGTTCAAACTGTAACCCAAAGTACACAGAAAAGCCGCAGGAAATCTTTTGCAGTGGGAGAGCAGAGATTTCCAAATGAGACTAATAAGGCATTTTAAATGCATGGCAGGGCCGGGCACGGTGGCTCCCGCCTGGAATCCCAGCACTTTGGGAGGCCAAGGCGGGCGGATCACCTGAGGTCAGGAGTTCGAGACCAGCTTGGCCAACATGGTGAAACCTCGTTTCTACTAAAAATATAAAAATTAGCCGGGTGTGGTGGCGCATGCCTGTAATCCCAGGCACTGTACCCACACATGGAGGCTGACAGGAGGAGGACCCCACAGCCCAACACTGTCTGTTGGGAGGCTGAGGCAGGAGAATTGCTTAAACCTAGCAGGCGGAGGTTGCAGTGAGCCGAGATTGCACCACTGTACTCCAGCCTGGGTGACAGAATGAGACTCTGTCTCAAAAAATAAAAAAATTTAAAATAAATAAATAAAAGCATGGCTTAGTGATACTGTATCCAGCCGAGGACTATAGTTCCAGGAAGAGATGGAAGGAGAAACAAACTTTCTTTTCCTTTTCCCACTTTCATTCATTCACAGACCAACTCCTATCTTACCCTCTCCTCACTTCCAGCCCATCCCATCAGCTTCAAGGGAAAAAGAGAGAGGGAAACAAGCTAAGAACAGCAAGAGCTGATCATTACCAGGGTGTCCCAATCTGTTTTCACTCCGCTCAGAGAAAGGAAGAGCCTTCCAAAAGCCATGAGGCATTTTACTTCATGCTCCTTCATCTATCTTCCTTCAAACTTGGATCTACTGAGGCCAAGCTAAGATGTCTGAACTAATAACCTCTCTCCCATCAGCCCCCAGAGGGAACTGGAAAGTAGCCTTCCTTGCCTGCTGGTATCTCTTATTTTAAAAGAGCAAGTGTCTAACTAAACAGATCTAAGATTCAACATATCCATTCTGTGTGAAGGTGTATCCTGAATAGGAGGTCAGCACCCACTGAGGAAACCAACCTTCCTTCCCCTACTCCCTGTCTCCATGAAATATTTAGAAATTACATTTTTCCAGTGGAGCTCCAGTGGCGCAATTGGTTAGCGCATGGTGCTGATACAGAAATTATGTTTTTCTTTTCTTTTGGCCAAGGATCAATATATGAACATTTAACGTGCAGAAAAATGCCCATGTCAGCCGCAACACTCTTCCCAGAATGACACAGAGAACAGGGGCATCTCTCAGTTGGCACAAGCTGTGTACCCAGAACCCTGCCCCAGGCAGGGAGATGTCCACACTTGCAACACATGCTCACTGCGACTCTCTTAGACATCAAGAAAATCCACCTTTGGCCCTAGACCAGACACACCCAGCCACACTGCATACTGCCTTTTTTTTTTTTTTTTTTTTTTTTTAATAAACGGAGTTTTGCTCTTGTTGTCCAAGCTGGAGTGGAATGGCACGATCTCGGCTCACTGTAACCTCCGCCTCCCAGGTTCAAGCGATTCTCCTGCCTCAGCCTCCCAAGTAGCTGGGGTTACAGGCATGCACCACCATGCCCGGATAACTTTTTGTATTTTTAGTAGAAACGGGGTTTCACCAAGTTAGCCAGGCCGGTCTTGAACTCCTGACCTCAAGTAATCCGCCTGCCTCAGCCTCTCAAAGTGCTAGGATTACAGGCATGAGCCACCGTGCCCGACCCTGTCTTTTAAGAACATCTGTGCATCCCTCATTTCCAAGAATCTAACTTCCAGCCCAGTGCTTAAGGAGTAGGGAGGGCTGTGCTTCAGCTACAGCAAGAAAACTCTAAGGGTTACACATCCCAGACCCCACCAATGACCGCAAATCTCCTGATACAAGGTCCCTGAACCTGTGTGGGGCCACTGAGGGTTGGAAAGAGCAATGACCCCGTATTCTGGATTGCAGTCATTCCCAAAGTCCACAGGATAAGGGTGATATGCGTCACGTAAGGATCCCAGACTCATCAGACTCTAGGGAGTACCAGGTGCCAACAAAGAAAGCAAGTGCAGGAGGACAGGTCAGCAGAGGCTGGTGGGAGGACCCCGCAGCCCAACACTGTCTGTACCCACACATGGAGGCTGGTGGGAGGAAAGGTCACCTACCTCACAGACAAGTGCCAGGGGACCTCTCAGGACTCCCCAGGGTTATGAATCAGTACCAGCTTAGGCCCTCCCAACAGGTCTATTCCTAGATGGCCCTGGAAACCTAGGAATCTTGGAAGGCTAAGAATCTGAATCACTCGAAAGAAATTTAAGAATGTCTGGACTAGAATAGAAAGTTCTCTGTGGAGGTTCAAATCTTTCCTTTCCTTTCAAGAAACTCTATGCAGGAGACTGGCCAAGATTAAGAAAATAATTATACCTGTATCCTCAATTACAGAACATGCTGTTTCAGCAGAAGCCACAGTTCATTCATATGATGGAATACTATGCAGCTATTATAAATTAAAAAACAAAACAAAACAAAACACCAGACACCTTAGTGACAAGGAAAATGTTATCCATTCACTGAAGAAAAATGAGAAACTTAGGCCAGGCACAGTGGCTCATGCCTGTAATGCCAGCACTTTGGGAGGCCAAGGTGGGAGGATCGCTTGAGCCCAGGAATTTGAAACCAGCCTGGGCAACATGGTGAGACCCCATCTCTCCAAAAAAAAAAAAAAAAAAACCTAGCCGGACATGATGGCATATGCCTATAGTCCCAGGTATTTGGGAGGCTGAGGCAGAAGGATCACTTGAGCCTGGGAGGTTAAGGCTGCAGTGAGCTGTGGTTGTGCCACTGGACACCAGCCTGGACAACAGAGTGAGACAAAAAAAGCAATTAAAAAATTAGTAATCATATTAGTAATCCCAGCATTCTGGGAGGCCGAGGCAGGTGGATCACTTGAAGTCAGGAGTTCGAGACCAGCCTGGCCAACATGGTGAAACACCGTCTCTACTAAAAATACAAAAATTAGCCGGGCATGGTGGTGTATGCCTGTAATTCCAGCTACTTGTATGGCTGGGGCACGAGAATCGCTTGAACCCAGGAGGCGGAGTTTGCAGTGAGCCAAGATTGTGCCATTGCTCTCCAGCCTAGGCAACAGAGCCAGGCTCCATCTCAAAAAAAAAATAATAATAAAATAAATAGTAATGATCTAAAATTTTTCGAGAAAATGTGTCTGGGCTGGGCACAGTGGCTCACACCTATAATCCCAGCACTTTGGGAGGCCAAGGTGGGCGGATAACCTGAGGTCAGGAGGTCGAGACCAGCCTGGGCAACATGGTGAAACTCTGTCTCTACTACAATACAAAAAATTAGCCAGGCGTGGCGGTATGCGCCTGTAGTCCCAGCTACTCGGGAGGCTGAGGCAGCAGAATTGCTTGAACCCGGGAGCCAGAGGTTGCAGTGAGCCGAGATCACGCCACTGTGCTCCAGTCTGGGCAACAGAGCGAGACTCCATCTCCCAAAAAATAAATAAATAAATAAAAATGACTAGAAAAATATACTAAAATGTTATAATGAATAACAATAATCAAAATCGCAGCATCCCCAAGTGAGAGACTGGCTCTGTGCTCTCAGGCCGTGACGACCGGTGCTTCTCGCCCTGCTGTCCACCAAGCTGTGCTGGACACAGCACTGATACCCACCATCAGCCGGAAGGGACCCAGCCCGAGCCTTTCCCTGGCCTAATCCGGAACACGCAGGTGGGACCCACAGCTCTGCTGCCCGCCCCTGCCTGGCCGACGTGGCCCCGGCTGCACTCACCGGTTCTGCAGTAGGGGTAAGCATTCCAGGCTTTCTCGTGTATATTCAGGGCTCCCTCTGGGGCCAGCATTCGAACAAACGTGGGTACTTTGCTATAGCGGGGAAAAAAAGGGGTATAAAGAGAAATGGTAGAGAGAAAGGAGACAAGAGGCTTTTCAGATCCAGCTTCTTCATGGGGAGCTGACAAGCAAGTTTCCATGCAATGAGCAGGTTACTGGTGGGAGTGAGAAGTTACGTATGAGAGCCTGACACCCCACCTTGGCTGGCTCCTAACACACACCCACGACGTGCCCCACCAGCCACCAGAAACAGGACCACACAAGAGACCCCAGGCTACCTGCTGTGGCTCATCACCCCTTCCATCAGCATTACACATTTTTCCAGAGCTTGCTGGGCCCAGGGCATTATACTACAAGGTGCGAGAAAAACACAAAGGAGATGCCTCCAAGCATGAACCAGTCTCGGTTTAGGGCCAGGGTAACTAGCCGACTAACTTGGGTTTGGGATCCAGGATTATCTGATCTGCTTTCATCAGCTCTGAGAGGCCAGGAGGGCCTAGAACCATTTGCCTCCCAGGACAAAGTATTTTCTTCTACTCAATTCTTTTTTTTTGTTTGTTTGTTTGAGACGGAGTCTCCCTTTGTCGCCCAGGCTGGAGTGCAGTGCTGCGATCTCGGGTAACTGCAACCTCCACCTCCAGGGTCCCAGTTCAAGCGATTCTCCCGCCTCAGCCTCTTGAGTAGCTGGGATTACAGGCATGCGCCACCACGCCCAGCTAATTTTTGTATTTTTAGTAGAGACAGGGTTTCACCATGTTGGCCAGGCTGGTCTTGAACTCCTGACCTCGTGATCCACCCACCTTGGCCTCCCACGGTGCTGGGATTACAGGCATGAGCCACCGCGCCCGGTCTCTTCTACTCAATTCTTATCTCAGGTTACAGAACAACATGTACAGTATAAGCCCCCTGCTTTTTTTTTTTTTTTTGGTAGGTGTGTGGTTTGACGGAGTAGGAAAACATTTAGAATTTTTTTTTTTTTTTTGAGACAGTCTTGCTGTGTCACCCAAGCTGGAGTGTAGTGGCTCGATCTTGGCTCACTGCAAGCTCCTCCTCCCAGGTTCAAGAGATTCTCCTGCCTCAGCCTCCCGAGTAGAAGGGACTACAGGTTCCCGCCACCACGCCCGGCTAATTTTTTGTATTTTTAGTAAAGACAGGGTTTCGCCATGTTAGACAGGATGGTCTCAATCTCCTGAGCTCATGATCTGCCCGCCTCAGCCTCCCAAAGTGCTGAGATTACAGTGGCGTGAGCCACCGTGCCTGGCCTAGAAAGATTTTTTAAAATTAAAATGAAAATGGTACATATATTCCTTTTCCTTTTTTTTGTTTGTTTTTGTTTTTTGAGATGGAGCCTTGCTCTGTCGCCAGGCTGGAGTGCAGTGGCACGACCTCAGCTCATTGCTTCCTCCATCTCCTGGGTTCCAGCAATCCTCCTTCCTCAGCCTCCTAAGTAGCTGGGACTACAGGCATGCGCCACCACGCCCAGCTAATTTTTGTATTTTTGGTAGAGATGGGGTTTTGTCATGTAGGCCAGGCTGGTCTCGAACTCCTGACCTCGGGCAATCTGCCTGCCTCAGCCTCCTAAAGTGCGGGGATTACAGGCGTGAGCCACCGCGCCCAGCCGTCCTTGGTTTCTAACAGATAATCTGTCCAGTCTTTGGCAAGCTCTGGCAACCTCATCAGCTTTAGTGCCTCAGGCCTAAGAAAGAAGAGCAAACTAGAGCAGAGAGCTAACCTGGAGCACTTGGGGCGGCCTCTGTGATTCACGAACTCACTGCCATCCCCATTCAGGCGAGTATTTCTAGGTCCAGGCAGGGGGACACACAGAGAAACCAAACAGATGTGGCTCCCACCCTCAAGGAGTTTCCGGTCTACTGGGGCGTGTAACTAGACAAGGCCAAGCACAACACTGTAAGTTCATGCCATAATGCGGTGGGCACAGGGCCCTGGGTGGCGGAGTGCTGTGAGAACACAGTGGGGGACATGCAGTGCACCGGGCAGGCTCTGCGAGGAAAGTCAGGATGAACCAACACATGGGACAATGAGTGGGGCTAAGCTAAGAGACAGATGGGAGTGGGGTGGGAAAAGCTGGAGAAAAGAGGGACAAGTTCAGAGTAACCGGTGCAGGTACAAGGTGGGGAATTCAAGGAGACACCTGAAGCTGGATCCTAAAAGATTTTTTTGTTTTTTTTTTGAGACAGGGTCTCACTCTGTGGCCCAGGCTGGAGTGCAGTGGTGTGATCATGGCTCACTGGCAGCCTTGACTTCCTGGGCTCAGGTGATCCTCCCACCTCAGCCTCCCAAGTAGCTGGGACTACAGGTGCACACCACTATGCCTGGCTCATTTTTGTATTTTCTGGTAGAGACAGGGTCTTGCTATGTTGCCCAGGCTGGCTAAAAGGTCCTATAAGTTATGTCAGACAGCACGGACTTCGTCCTGAAGGCAAAGGGAAGCCGTCAGCAGTTTTGGCGCTGGGAGTGACAGACCATCCAGACTGAACACTTGAAGCGGTGCGGAGAACTGAAAGGCAGGGAGACTCGTTAGAAGCTGCTGTAGTAATCCAGGCAAGAGGTGGCAAGGAAGGGACATGTTGGAGACGCTGAGGAGATGGAGTCAGCAGGACCTGATGGGACACGAAGGGCAAGTGAGAGTGTTGCGGGGCGGAGTCAGCGGGACCTGATGGGACACGAAGGGCGAGTGAGAGTATTGCGGGGCGGAGTCAGCGGGACCTGATGGGACACGAAGGGCGAGTGAGAGTGTTGCGGGGCGGAGTCAGCGGGGCCTGATGCGATAAGAAGGGCGAGTGAGAGTACTGCAGGGGAGCTCTGCTTTCTGCTTTGGGCAGCCAGATGGCTGACACAGTAAAGCTTCTCTTGTCACCATGGGGAGAGGTAGTGGTGGCAGTCACTGCTGGCCTTTTCTTTTTCTTTTTTTTCTTTTTTTTTTTTTGTAAGAGACAGGCGGGATCTCATTCTGTGGCCCAGGCTGGAGTGCAGTGGCGTGACCATGGCTTACTGCAGCCCTGACCTCTTGGGCTCGGGTGATCCTTCCACCTCAGCCTCCTGAGTAGACAGGACTACAGACACTCGCCACCACACCAGCCTAATTTTGTTTATTTTTTGTAGAGATGGAGTCTCGCTATGTTGCCCAGGCTGGTCTCAAACTCCTGACCTCAAGTGATCCATCCGTCTCGGCCTCCCAAAGTGCTGGGATTACAGGCGTGAGCCCCCGAAGCACCCGGCCAGGTTCCATCTTTCATATGTAGAGACCTCGTCTCTGTCAGTTTGGTTGGACCAACTTAGTCTTGAGGAAACAATTGGTCCCTTCTACCTAAAATACCAACTTCACCATCTCTTTTCAAAATC